>NC_000003.12:130523755-130675270 GCF_000001405.40 Homo sapiens
AGTATCATTTAGCTAAAAGCTAAAAGGTCTTTTAAAACCTTTCAAGAGGTGTGTTTTTGGAAATGCAAGTGATGTAACTACATATAATGGCATCTAATTCCCTCACAGTTTCTTCCAAACAGTCTTTCTCCTTGAGTTTCAATATCTGCATTCCCTGGGTTAATGCCATGAATCCAATTTCTAAACTGAGATTTTTTTCCAAGAGTTCTGCCTTAATTAGTTATTCCCCGCTCCTCCGTGGTTTTTTCTTTCCCCCTTCTCCACGAGTACTGTCATCAACCTGAAATGGCACCATTAAGCACCTAATCTTTGAGCCTCCGGGGAACTGTCATCAAAATGCTCAGGAACCGAGATGTACATTTACAGGCAATGTAACTGGGTAGAGGCAAGCACTAAACAAGTTCCTCAGCTTGCACTGGTGAATGATGAAGGCAGAGAATTTCTTAGCTTTTACTAGAGAGGTGAATTAAGTACATAATTGGGGTGGAAATTGGGATAATAGCACCTCAGGGAGCTGTCTGCACATTTTAAGGGCTTTTAGGTATTTAGTAAGTTACTGCTTTGACGCACTTACCTAATAGTCCATAGCAAAACAGTTTTCAAGTTCACTGGGCCAGAGGTGCCCTGCCCCACTCTAAACATACAAAGTGTATAAATTCCTTTTTTTCCTATATATCCTAACAATTTTGGAATACATAGTCACTTGTAAGTAACAGTCAGTATACTCAGAAAAATAGGCAAAATGGTGGTTAATGGTGTTGTCTATGTTGGAGTCCCACCTCATTTTCTTGGATCAGCTTGAATAGATAAATTCATAAATATGTATTCTTAGCTGCAAAATTCTTTAAGTAGTTGCCTTTTTACTTCCAAAAGCATGAAGGACTTTATTTATCTGTTTATTTTATTTCTCAGTGCTCTTATCAAGTCTTTAAATTTCTTCATGGAGAAAACAGCAATTAGGCAATAGATGTTCCTATGTCATCTCAATCAGCAGTAGCAAAAGTTGTTAAGTTGGGCAGTGTGCTGGGCACCGACTGCATGATTCCATGCCTTCCATCCCTGCTAAAGTCCCCCTTGAGAAAGGAGATGTGCGCTGTGGATGCAGAGCTGAAGCCATGCCACTAACTGCAGCCACTAAGCAATTTTGGGCTGGGATAGAAATACCCTAGGGAAAAAGAGATGAATGACTTCAGCTCTTCACAAGGTGGGTCTTCAAATACTCCAATCCAGAGTTTTCTACATCAATGAACTCAGCACTTATTAAACATATTATATACATTATCACATTTAATCCTTACAACAACCCATTATCCTGCTTTCACAAATGAGAGTCCAGGATTTCAAGGTTCATCAATTGCTCAAATCACAGCTGGCCAATGAAAGAGATTTGAATTCTGGATGTGGTTAAAACTCAGACCTTGATACTGCTATCTGTATATTCTGCCAGGTAATCTGGAAAATGTGTGCTTCAAAAGCCTAGAAACTTCTAATGTGGACAAAATTTAGATTCCTGGATGCTCGGAATAACAGTTCAGAAGTCATATTTTTCATGGTAAGAGGAAATTTTGACTCAGTATTTTTTAGAAGAGGGAAAAAAGGGAGACTGCTAACATTGTGAACATAAAACTCAAAATGGCGATGTTTGAGAAGTCGCTCAGGGACTTGGATCTCTGTTATTGAAATTGACTTTAGTAAATATTTTCAAAAGTCCATTCTCCTTTTTTTGCTGTTTGACTTTTTATAGAATCCTAGAATTTCAGAGCAGAAATGGATCTCACAAATCGTTTCAAGTATTTTTTTAAGCAAAAGTGATTGGTTCTTCCTCTATGCTCTCCCACAATTTAAATCTTTTCATGAATTCTTGTCGATCTCGGGAAAAAGACAGAAGTCATGAGTAGGTCCTGCAAAGCTGTGAATGGCCTGGACTCTTCCTCTCTTCCAGTCTCATTCAGTGCCATGCTCCCCTTCTCTCCCTGTGTTCTATTTATACTAGACTTCCTTTGCTTCCTTGACCACGCCATTCTCCTTCTTGCCACGAGAACTTTGCATCAGCTATCCTCCCTTCCTGGAACATCACATTCCTCCTGGGCTAGTTAACTCTCACCATTCCTTCATCATTAGCTCAAACAGCATTCCCTCAAAGAAGCCTTCCCTGGACTTTCCAAGTTAATCAGTTCTCCTCATTATGTAGTGATATATGTCATCACAGTGTATAATAATTCAACAAATAGTTATTAAGCATTTTTTTTTAATGTACAAACCCTATTCTAGGTGCTGGAAAACAGACAAAGTCCCTGCTCCAAGGAGGATATAAACAACAGAGAAGTCAATAAATGACTTATAGGTAGTATTCCATGCTACCTTAATTAAGAAATTAATTGTGGAGCTAATGACTGACTATAAAAAAGGTGGGAGGTAATTTTGGATGGGGTGGTCAGGGAGGCTTCTCTGGGGAGGTGACATTTGAGCAGAGATCTGAGTGAATATGGGAGGAGAATATGAGTCCCTCTTTGTGAAGTCGGGTAGGGGGACACTTCCAAGCAGGAACAACTTTGGGCTTGTTCATGGAATGCAAGGAGGCCATAGTGGCTGGAGTGGAGGGAATGAGGAGAGTAAAGATGAGATCAAAGATCACATGGGCATGGCTCACATCATTAAGAGCCTTATGGACTGGGTGTAAGGAATTGGAATTTAGCCTAAGTGTGATGAAAAGTCACTAGAGATTTTGAACATAGGTGCACCAATCTAATTTATGGTCTTCAAAGATCCCTCTGATTGCTGTGTGAAGGATCTATGAAGAAGGACAAGGGTCAGGTACTGTTAGTGCAGTAGTTCCGCCAAGAAGTGATGGTGGCAGTGATGTGGTTTGCAGCTGGTGCAAAGTGGTTACATTTAAAACATGTTTTGAAGTACTATTGACAAGACTTGCTGATGGATTGGCTCAGAAGTTTCAGAGAAACCTCTTTTTTACATGTATCACAGTTGTAACTTTACACTTATTCATGTAATTCTTTAATCAGCACCTTATAGTTTCAAAGGACTATATGCTCCATGAGATAAAAAAAAAAAGTCTGTTTTTACTTTTCATTGCATACCCACTGCCTGACTGCCTACCAGGTGATAGATGCTTAATAAATATTACTTGAATGAAGGCATGAATAAGTGAACGGATAAATACATAAACTAAAACGATCTTATTCTATAGATAAGGAAAATCGGTCTCCGAGAGTTTAAGTTAAGGAAATGGCCTTAGGCCTCAGCTCAGACTAGAACCCATGTCTCTACATTCCTCTTTTAGGCTACTTTTCCTCTTGCAGTAGAGCCACTGTGAACCTCATACTCTTTTATTGTGGGGAGGGAAGGGTTGCCAAAATGTGTTTCAAAAACTCCTAATGGATAACTAGTCTGTTTAGCTTGGCACTCACGAATGGCAGTCAAGAGTTATTCTAATCACCTTTGAGGCTCTGTTGAGGTAGCTCAAGTCTATTACACTTTTTTCTCTTCTTTGACCTTGTTTTCTTCTCCAGTAAAGATAACTAATCTTGACTCACTATTGGTGAGTGTTATGCTTAGGACCCAAAAGAGGTCAGCCTAAGCCATCTGATTTGTGTCCTGTTTTGAAAGACACTATAGGTCTTTAGGCAAGAGCAGCTGGTGTGCTTAATCTTTATATAAGAAGGTAGCCATTCAAAAATGTTCAGCACCCCCCGCCAAGGGCATTTTGAAGAAAATCAGTGGAGGCAAGCTGTGATTAAGAGGGAAAGGAGAATAGAATACAATTAAGAGTCTCCTCTGTTCTCTTGGAAGACAAAAGCTGCCTGAAATGTAACTTTCCCAAGCAATGATCACATCCTTGGCACTCTGCCTTTCTAATTAAATTGCTGATACATATATATGGATATTTCATTTAATGAACAGCTGGTAAAATTGGATCCTTGCTCTGCAGAGGTTTACCAAAGCACTTCATAGTTTCAGTATGATTGAATACTAATCATTTACTCCAGAATACAAAAAGAGGAAATTAAACCTGACCTAGCTGCTTATCATCTGGGACCTTCTAGGCTGCATCCCCCATGGTCAGCATAGTAACTTTATCTGTTGTTTCCCATCAAGTTACTTCCAATGTTACTTTTCCTTTTTTTTTTTTTTTTTTTTTTTTTGGTTGTTGTTGTTGTTGTTGTTGCCCTACTCTTGGAAGCAACACCTGGTGTGCCTTTACATTTTTCAGAGCTGTTTCTGATGCTCTGAGACCCAAACCCTTATGAGGTTTCCAGGAGACAGACATTGAAGAGATAAACACTCAGATGAAAGCTTAATCATAGATTTGAGATATGCTATGAAAAATAATAAGATGCTATGACAGAAAAATCTCAGAGGGAACCTAAGTTAATAAGGACAGAAGGAAAGGACCTCCTTGAGGCAGCAGCATTGCAATGAAGACTTGGAGACGAGGACTGAGCAGGAACAAGGAAAGAGGAACAAAAAGGTTGCCAGAGAGGGTGGCAGTGGCCAGATGGGCATGGGGCAGGGCTTTTCAAACTTTGATGGGTATGCAGATCACCTGGGGACCTTGTTAAATTGTTATTCTAATTCAGTAGGACAGGTGATCCTGCATTTCTGATCCCCAGTGATGCTGATCATGCTGATCTGAGGACCACTCTTTAAGTAGCAATGGAATAGGGCAAGGGTTGCAAAGTTTTTCTATAAAGAGTGAGATAATAAACATTTTAGACTTTGCAGGTCATACTGTCTCTGTTGCAACTACTCAGCTGTGCCATTGTAGTGTAAATGCAGCCGTAGATAGTACATAAGTGAATGGATATGGGTGTGTTCCAATAAAGCTTTAGCAAAGCAGAGCATCATTTTGGCTCACACACCATAGTTTTCTGACTCCTGGGGCAGAATCAGGTGGTATTGGTTCTTAGGTTCAGATGCACATCAAAGTCACCTGGGTTTGAATAATCACCCATCAGGTTCCTATTTCAGATCAATAAAATCAGGATCACTGGGGATGGGACTGAGGCACTGATAGACTTAAAAAGCTCCCCAGGTAAGCCGGGAGCAGTGGCTCACGCCTGTAATCCCAGCACTTTGGGAGGCCGTAGGCAGGTGGATCACAAGGTCGGAAGATCGAAACCATCCTGGCTGACACGTTGCATAACCCTCTCTCTCCTAAAACTATAAAAAATTAGCCAGGTGTGGTGGACACCTGTAGTCCCAGCAACTTGGGAGGCTGAGGCACGAGAATGGCGTGAACCCGGGAGCTGGAGCTTGCAGTGAGCTGAGATCATGCCGCCACTGCACTCCAGCCTGGGCAACATCCCCAGGTGATGCCAAGGTGCAGCCTGGGCTGAGAGCCACTCTGGGCCTCAATCTCATTTGATAGCCCCTTATTCTCTTTGCCCTAGGAGATAGGCAAGGCAAAATGACTCCATCTTTTCTTAATTCTGAGAGATCATCAGTTGACCAATAGCTTTCAATGAAGGGGGGAAAAACACAGCAGGAAATGTACAAAAACACAGCAGGAAATGTAAAAAAAAAAAAAAAAAAAGCAGGAAGTGTACAAATCTCTAGTAACACACATCCTGATTTCATGCATGTTAAAATCAGGGTGGAGTGGAAATGTTCACTCTGAATTCAGGAAATATGGTATTTTCATCCCTAGTATACAGATGAGGAAAATGGAGCACAGAAAATGTATTGTGCAGATTGTATGATGATATGCCAGGGAGACACAGGCAACCTATTGTGACTTAGCTTGCTGAACTGCTTAAGCTCTTCTGTCCCCTCTGGGCCTTTCCAGATACATGCTGATCTCCCTGCCTTGGACATGCTGCCTCACCTCATTACAATCACCTGTTTAATTTCTGCTTCTCCTTCAAGTCTTCTCCTCAGCTTAGTCATCTGCTTTTTCTGAGGTATCTTTCCTGGTCCACACCCAGAGAAGGGGCCCCTGCTGGGAGCACCTGTAGTCCTTAGTGAGGTTCTCTATTAAAGCCAGATCTCTTTCTGTTGACATAAATTTAACCTCCTGGCCCTGGAAAAGTTCATGAGGGAAAGGACCATGACTGCCTTGTTATTTTATCTCCAACACCTGGTATATGGCAGGGGCTCAGTGAATTTTTGAGGATTGCACGAACTCAGTCCCCCTCCTCAGCAGAGGGCAGCACAGTGGTTTAGAGGAGTGGTTCTCAAAGTGTTGTCCTCAGCCCTTCCGTATTAGCATCACCTGGAACATTGTTTGATATGCAAATCCTGAGGCTCACCATGACCTACTGATTCAGAGTCTCTGGGGCTGTGGCCCAGCTGTCAGTGTTTCAGTCTAGCCCTCCTGGCGATTCTGAGGCTTGTTCCAGTGTGAGGATCACAGGTTAGGGTATGGACTCTGAAGCCAGACTGCCTGGCTTCGAAACCCTGGCTCTGTTGCTTAAAAACCGTTTGGCTCTGGAAAATTTACATCACCTTTCTGTACCTCAGCATTCTCATCTATCAAATGGAGTTGATAAAAATACCGTCTGAAGCTTGTTCCAGTGTGAGGACCATGGATTAGGGTATGGACTCTGAAGCCGGACTGCCTGGCCTCAAAACCCTTGCTCTGTTGCTTAAAAACCGTTTGGCTCTGGAAAATTTACATCGCCTTTCTGTACCTCAGCATTCTCATCTATCAAATGGAGTTGATAAAAATACTAGTAGCTACCTGAATTGGATTAAATGAGATAACCTAGAGCTGTTAACACAGCACTGCTCAAAGTAAGTGGTGAAAATATGTTAACTGTTAGTATTATTAACTGTGCAACTCTGGGAAAATTTATTCTCTGAGTTTTATTTCCTTTGTCTTTAAAACAAGGATTAAATTTGCCTCACAGGGTTTTGAAAGTTAAATGGTTGTAATATGTTAGGGTGCTTAACCTTTGGCTAGGCTGTGGGGCCCAGTTATTTAGTCAAACACCAGTCTCCGTGTTGCTGTGAAGGTGTTTTTTAGATATGATTAACATTTAAATCAGGAGATTTCAAGTGCAGTAGATTACCCTCAGTAATGCATGTGGGCCTCATTCAATCAGCTGAAGGCCTTAAGGAAAAAGACTGAGGTCCCCTGAGGGAGAAGAAATTCTGCTTTCAGACTTAAGATGGCAACATCAACTCCTGCTGGAATTTCCAACTTGTTGGCCTACTCCGCAAATTTGGGACTTGTCAACCCTCATAATTACGTGAACCAATTTCTTGAAGTCTCTCTTTCTCTCCTCTCCACCCCCCTCCTCTACACACACACACACACACACACAGACACACACACACACACACACAGTCTCTCTCTCTCTCTCTCTCTCTCTCTCTGCCACTCACACATTGCCTTTCTGTACCTATTGATTTTGTTTCGCTGGAGAACCCTAATTCAATGTGCTAAATATGTGTAGGTCCAGGCTTTTCAACCTATATAGTTTCTCAACTATTGACCTTCGGGCTGCACAATTCTTTATTTTGGGGAACTCTTCTGTGCACTGCAGGATGTTTAGCAGCATCTAACATCCTATTAGCAGCATACTAACAACAGTAGTGGGTTGACCTCTACCCACTAGATGTCAGTGGCACCCCACACCCCAGCAGAATCAAAAATATTTCCAGACATTGCCAAATGTCCACTGGGAATGGAAAATCTCCAGGTGAGAACAACTGGTATAAAAAGGAAAATGTATGAGCTCTTCCCCCTAGTTCACTCCCATTGAACCAGTGCTGCTCTGCTGCCCACATAGCCTACATTCTCTTCCCTTTCCCCATCAAAACACTGTCCACAAAGTCTGGCTCAAAATCACTACTATCAAAGGTGGCTCTAATAACCTGCCTCCCCCTTGAGCTTCTGCTCTCATGCCTGTCTTTTCACAGAGTTTTCTAATGTGCTTCTTATAGTCTCATAGGCCTGTGCTTTGTCCTTCTCCATTGAAACCCCTTGAAGGCAGGGGCAGCCATGAAAGAGAAGCAGATGATTTGATTTGAGTCAAAATCCTGCTGTTTACCAGCTTGTAGCCTTGGTAGAGTCACTCGTTCTTGCTGAATTTCAGTGTTAACATCTATAAAATGAGAAGAGCAGAGTCTACCTCATAGAGTGGTTATAATGTAAAAGCAATTTATAAACTATAAAAATACTGTATATGTGTTTTCCTCAAAGAAAAACCATGCCTTTTTCTGGTATAGAGATAGCACAGGGGAAGAGGTTTTGGGAGGTGTGTTTAGGATGAAATATGACTTTTGAAAAATGCCAGATGAACATGTAAATGCATGGATTTGCATATCATATTTTGCATTTTGCTTTAATTTTCTTTTGATAGCTTTTGAAATAGGATCTTTTCTGTGTCCTTCTGAGATTAATATATAAATAACCTAATGGGGCAGTTGACAAGGCGATGCAATTTCCCTAGTTATTGACTTCAAATTCCTGGAAATGATGCCACTTATCAGCATTTCTCCCTACCCCTATTGTCTGTTGTCTTTATTCACTCAGGGAGTACCTGTGCTTGACACTGAGTATTTTTCCTTCAGAACTTATTAAAGCAGCCACTTTACAGAAAAATAGTTTCTGTACCCCCCCATCCCACTCTGCCAAGGCATTAATGTGCCCCTTTTCTGATCTTCTACACTCCTACCTTGGGCTCGCCCACCTGTGTGAACACAGGTCTACCCCTTGCGTCCCCAATCAGACTCTGATTTCATGATGTCCGGGGCTGTCTTTGCTGGATTTTGTGTTCCCAGGGGCTGGTACACTGACCAAAGCAGGTGACTTACTCATGAATGTGACAGCAGTGACTCACTAAGTTTCCAATACTACATGTCCATCTGCCTGTGGGATGTCTCCACTCCTATGACTTGTGGACACCTCAGATTCTGTGCTTCAAGGAATTAAAACTGGATCTTACTTTATGCACCAGTTATCTAAGTTTGCAAAGTAAATCATTCCAAAAAGTAGTGGCCTAAAAACAATGTAATATCTCTCATGGTTCTGTGGGTTGACTGGGTTTCTGGGTAATTCTTGCTTAGGGTCTCAGTGAGATAGTGGCCAGAGTCATCACTATGTTTTCAGTCACATGTCTGGCACCTGGGCTGGGAGGGCTGGATCATCTGGGAGCTGGTTAGGCATCTCTCCTGACCTCTTCACAAAGCCTCTCCATGGAGCTAGCTTAGATTTTTTCACAATATGGATTCAGAATAGCGGAACTCCTTACTGGCAGCTGACTTGGCCCGGAGCAAGTGCCTCAGGAGCCTACATGCCAGCTCCAAGGTTTCTTATGACCTAGCATTGAAAGCCTGAGTCCATCACTTCTGCCACATTCTACTGATCAAGTAAGTCATTAAAGCTAACCTAGATTTAGGGGAAGGGAAAATCGACTTTTCTTCTCAGTGGCAGCAGTGGCAAAGAAATAGCGGCCATATTTTACCGTATTTTCTAACAAGTGCAGTTTGTTGCCTCTGTCAATAATTCTTTCATAGCCTTACATCCCAGGAATTAAAAAAAAAAAAAAAAAAAGCAAAAACGGTGTCAAGCACAGGTGCTCCACCTAATTTAATAACAATGGATTTCATCACTTCGTCACCTCCTTGCCACTTACCCTCCAACCCTCTACCAGATTGGTTTTCACAAGATATGAACACTCCTTTTTTGAAAGACCTTTGTTTGTTCCTTCTTCTTGCATGACATCATTTAGCATTCCTTTTTTCTTATGACTTTTTTCAAATACACAGAAAAGCATAGTGAATAATGTAATAACTATTCCTTACCCAGATTTAACAATAACATCTTTCAATGTTTGTTCAGACTTTTTAAAAAAATAAAATATTACAGACAAGTTAGAAATCCTCTTGGTCCCCCTTTCTGCTCCCATTTTCCACTTTGCATTCCCAGCGGGGACCACTGTTCTGAAGTTGATTTGTATTGTTCCAAGTTTTGTTTTAATGTACCTCTGCTTAAACACTTGGTATTTTGGTGTGTTTTAATAATTTTACATGGATGGTATTGTACTTCTGAGACTTCTTCCCTAAGCCTCTCATCCAAGGATAGGAGCCCTGTTGTGGGTAGGTCATGTCAACCTACAACTAGTTTTCTCACTGTGTTTTGAGATTTATTCCTCTTCAAGGCATGTAGATCTAAAGTATTCATTTAATGTTTGAACAATATTCCCACGTATGTGTGTGTGCACGCCAGTTTAATCTTTTTTAACCTCTGCATGAACATTAATAGTCTGCAATTTTTACGAACATATATTGTCTTGTACACATGTACCAGGGTTTCTGTAGGGTATCTGCTTTACATGAAACTGCTAGGTCATCTTTAATTTTACGTGAAATTGCCAAATTGCTCTCCAAAGTGAGTGCATCAAATTATATTCCCACCAGCCATGTATATAAGTTCTAACTTCCCTACATCCTTGTCAACTTTTGGTATTGTCAAACTCATTTTGGCCAGTCTAATAGGAAGGAAATGGAACCTCACTGTTTTAATATGCATTTCCCTGTTACTGATAAGGCTAAGGATCTTTTCATGTGGCTATTGACCATTCAGATTACCTCTGCTGTGAATTTCATGTTCATATTCATTGTTCATCTTTCTGCTGGAGTCAGTGATTTCATATTGATTCATAGATTAAATATATTACTCCTTATAGTAGCTTATTTCTTATTTATGATGTCTTTTGTCAGCACTAACATTTTAATGTATTTCCATTCACCAATCCTCTCCTTTATGATTTATACTTACTGTATTTTCATTAATTTCTTCCAAAGTCATAATGGTTTGGGTTTGCATTTTGACATACTGCCTTTGGAATATTGTGTGTGATTTTATCAGAGTTTAGTCTTAGTAAACACCTATCTTAGTAAATACCTAACATGAGAACTCAGGCGTATGTTTTCCTTGATGACTTCCCTCTCATCTTTCACATTTTTATTGCGAATGTTTTAGCTACACTTGATTTTAAACCACCCTGGGTTATTTTTTTTCACAGCCAGCACCTACTTAGATTTACCTACATTCAAATTATTACCATTGCTTCCTTCGTTTTCTTTTCTGGGTTTAATCGTAGTGTTTCACGTGAAAATCTAGAAGTAGATTTTTTTCTGTTAATGTTTTATTTCACTCTCATTTTTGAATTATAATGAGTATTGGGTTTTTTCCTACTATGTTATAGTAGCATTTATATTAGTCTGGCATCTATCGATATGAATGACAAATTTGCTCATCAAATCTCATTCATTTGTTGATTTATTTTACCTCCTCAAGTCAAGTCTTCATTTGCTCCACCCAAGAGAACTCATAGTATTTTCCTTCAGTTCTGGAAAATTCTCATCCATGACCTCCTCAGACATTGCCTCTCATTCTCTTTTTTCCCCCTCACTATTCCTATTAGACCCATGTCAGTTGTTCTCACTCCAGGCTTTTAACTTCCCTGTTATATTTTCTGTATCTTTATTTTTCTTTGCTTTACTCTGGGTAACTAATTCTTGTTTTAAATGTTCTATATAAAACACAACGTTTAATGAATCAATTTTAGTTCCAGTGCACATATTTTCCATGGATAGATATTTTTATGGTTGTTTTTCAAATTCATACCTCATTTTATACTTTTTTGTGCTCCAGCTATTTTATGCTTTTCCTTTTTTTCACTGTGGCTTTCTATCATCTCTTTAAGCACTTTTCACAAATTTGTTTTTGCAGTGTCTTTTGAATTATTTTATTAGCCAGTGGTCTTGGATGCCACATCTCCTCTTTGTGAAACCTTCTGCCTCCCTTTGAGTGATTCTTTTTTTTTTTCCATAGTTGTAATTTTTTCTGCGCTCATCTTCAGCAGTGGCTATTTTTACGTGTTTGAGAGATTCCTATGCACCTAAAGTGGTGAAAATGCCCCTAAAGAGTTTTGCCTTTGCCTCTGCAGCTGCTGAGGAGTTTCATGGTTGAAACCAGTTTTTGCATTAATTCCTCAGTTTGGGACTCCTGTACCATATGGATTTTGTAGGGTGAAGCCCTCTATCTACTCTTCACCAGACTTCTAAGTTTCTTATCTATGATTCTTCTTTAATATAGGGTTCCAGTAAAACACTTTGATTAGTCTTGTGACTGTGAAACTGCTTAGGTTCAAATCCCATTTGTACTACTTTATCACTGTAGGACCTTAGAAAAGTTACCTAGCTTCTGAGCCTCAACTCCTCATCTGGAAAGTGGAGAAAATAATAGAATTTCAAAGAATTGCTATGAATACTAAATGGTAGCTGATACATATATAGAGTTTGATATCCTTATTCTAGCCATTTCTCCAGGCCAGTGAGCCAAATTTTCTATTTTTGATTTTATAGAAGGGGATGCTCTTGTAAACTCTGCTATACAGAAAACTTCTCCAATAGTTAGTCTTACGTAGTGATTTCTGCTCATGCATCTTCATGAAACAAATTCTTCTCCACTTTTTTCTACACATAACCAAATTCTGTTCATCCTTTAAAGTCACACTCAAGTCTCACTTTCTCTGTGAGTCCTTCTGTCCTTACACAAGAGACACCTGTCTCTTTTCATTCTTTCATCCCTATACATCCATTCATTTACTTGTTCATTCAAGTACCACAGTGGGTCAGGCACTGTTCCAGACTCCAGGGTGCAGCCTGCAAAAACACATACCTGCCCTTGTGGTACTCACATTCTTATGAGGAAAGACCATAAGCAAGGAAACAAATATTACCACAATAGATTCGCTGACGAAGACAAGTCCTCTGAAGAGAAATAATAGTGATTGGGAGTAGACGGGTAGAGAAGGGGAAATTATTTTCAATAGGGTGCTAACCAAACGTCCCTTTAAGAAGGATGTAATATTTAAACACACATCTAAGGAAACCAAAGTAGCAGAAACTGTGAAGGCCCTCAGGTAGAACAAGCATGTCCTGTTCAAGGAAAAGTGAAATCAGTGCAGCTGGAGTGGTGAGAGAGAGGAAGGAGATGAAGTCAGAGGATTAATAGGGCCTAGACCATGGAAGGCCCTGATGAACATGGAAAGGGGTTTTGAGTAGATGTGAAACTATCTCATTTTTAGTTTAAAATGAAGCACACTTGAATAATATGTAATTGGCCAGAGTGGAAGCAAGGAGTCCAATTAGAAAGCTTTTGCTAGAATTCAGGTGAGATGATAGTGTCTTAGATTAAGGTGGAAGTAAAAAAGGTATTGACGAATGGCTGGATCTGAGATCTAATTTTTTTAAGTAAAACTAACAGTGTCTGCTCAGGGATGTGAAAGGAGATGAGTTAATTATTCCTATGTTTCTAGCTGAGGAAACTTGGTGAGTAGTGGTACCACTTACTGAGATGGCAGTCATATTCAACTGTGCATTATTTAACAGTTAATTATTTTTTAGTGTATTTGTTACAGCTCAGCAATTAGATTGTCTGTTTCCCTTAACACAGTTAGGGACACTACATTCACATTTGATTGATTAGTTTGTTCTAGCTCTATCAATTAATAGCTGTGTGACTTTCAGCAAGCTACTTAACCCTCTAACTCAATCTCATCTGTAAAGTGGGTCTGGTACTCATCGGGTTGTTGAGACAATTAAGTGTGGCTCTTAGAATAATGGCTGGCACTTAGTAGTGCTCAGTAGTAGCTGTTATTCGTTCCAGAAACACCCCCACACCCCACCAACTGTAGCCAGTCAGCCCAGGGATCTTATGAGTTTCTCTCTACTTAGTTTGCTCAATGCAAGGTCAGACTATTTTTCAAAGGTACTTAATACTTGAGCTAATAGAGAAAATCCATGCTAGCTTTCAAATGCTACCCTGTGTGAATCTCTTTAGTTGTGTTTTGCTTTTCCAAGCCTAAAACTTAGGTGGTCAACAATTAGCAGATATTTGTTGAATGTCTACTTTGGGCTTAGCTGCTGGGATATTCAAGAGTACCAGTTAAACCTCATTTTTCCTGCCATGCATGCTTTTGATTTAGCTGTAATGAATATTTTATCAGTGACCAAATATTTTATTACCTCTCTAGTCCTTTGGGTATTGCTGGACAGATTTCAGACTAGCTGATGTCATTATTGGCCGTTATAAATTGTGTCAGTATGGCTGCCCTTTTGTATCTTGGTCAAATACAGAAAAACAGCAACTTGGAGATACAGAGCCTCTATTCAGACTTAATGGGATTAGCTGTCAATGGCAGAAATTCACAGCAGTTGGTATCCATTCATTGAGAAAGAAGACAACTTAAAGAAATTTCCAGTGAAAGATAATTACACACAGATTATCTGGTACATTCTAACACATTAGATAAAATTCCTTCATCTGCAGAGAACTGGATAGCATGCAAAGCTTTGCCTCAAGGAAAGCAATATGATATAGTGGAAAAAGCACTGGACTCAGATCAGCAGGACTGGCTGTGACCTGAGGAAATGCTCAACTTTGCCAAGACTTAGATGTTTCCCTTGTAAAAAATGAATAAAAAATTATACCTACTTTACAGGGGTACTCTCAGGGTTCAGGGAGATAATGGCTGTGAAAAGACTTGGAAATCTGCAAAATATTATACCTAAGCAAATGTTATACAAGCCTGTAGACATGTTAAGAGTTGAAAATGTGATAAGGAAAGACTTTAGGAGAGAGAGTAAATAAAGTTCCTTGCCAGGCGGTGCCTTTTCTAGGTTACTCACAAGCTGTCCCATTGTAAAGATGGCAACAAAAATAAAAATAATGACAACAGCTAACATTTACTTAGTATCTGCTGCAAAGAAGATACTGTGCCAACTCGTTTACACACATCAGTTCATTTAACCCCCAAAACAATTCCTTGAAGTGGATGTGGTTACTAACACCATTTTATGGATGAGAAATGGGTTCAAAGCAATTAAATTACTTGCCTAGTCATGCAGTTTGTGGGCTATAGAACTAGGATTTTAATTAGGCAGTCTGATGCCAGAATCCATGAGTTTAACTACTAGCCTACACAGCCTTACAGGTGGATCCTAGTATAATTGGAGTGTGAGCTCAGTATTGCCAAGTCATTTTCAGTGGAGTGATTCTGCCTGTGCCTCGAATTTGTCCCACACCTCCTATCCCCTGCTCAGAATTTCTCTCCTATCTCTACTATTTCATGCTATCCTACAATCATAGGTGCTAGAGGCTACATTGGGTAATGCTTGCTGCTGTAGCTAATAAACCTAAAAATGTATACTGATGCACACACAATAGTAAGTTAAATTATTACTGATTTAACAGAAGTAGGTCTGTAAACACATTCATGGGGTGGCCCCTGTCCACACAGCCATTCAGGTCCCCATGCTGAGAGTAACCTTGCCATCCTCAACATTTGGTGCTTGAGATTGTCTCCATTCCAGCCAATCAGAAGGGGAAGAAAGATTGAGGTGCCCCCTGTGGGAATTTCTGCTGAGGTTGCATTGGCTGGCACTCATTTAGCCATTGCAAGTGGAGCTAGAAAATATAGCCCCCTGCTGGCCGCCATGGCTCAGTGACAACTTCTCAATGTGGAATGGGCAGCACTAATTTTTGGTGAACAACTAAGAAGTGTCAGCCACAGAGATTATGGTTATTGCTAGGTGGTTTTTCATTGATGAAATTTTATTTCTGGGCTGGGCGCGGTGGCTCACGCCTGTAATCCCAGCACTTCGGGAGGCCGAGGCCGGTGGATCAAGAGGTCAGGAGTTTCAGACCAGCCTGACCAACATAGGGAAACCCCGTCTCTACTAAAAATACAAAAATTAGCCGGGTGTGGTGGTGGGCGCCTATAGTCCCAGCTACTCAGGAGGCTGAGGCAGGAGAATGGCGTGAACCCGGGAGGCGGAGGTTGCAGTGAGCCAAGTCGCGTCACTGCACTCCCGCCTGGACAACAGAGCGAGACTCCGTCTCAAAAAAAAAAAAAAATTTATTTCTTTGAGTTCCTTTAATTGGGTTCTGCAGTACACCATGAAAAATTATGGGCTCAAGGAAGGTTCTTTTGATCAAAATATGCTCTTCACTTCCTTGTTTCCTGCCACACTAATACAAAACTTATTACAGATGACCATCTCAGTGGGACAAATACTCCCTGCAATTGTTTCATACCTGCTGTCAGCATTTAAATGAACTGGAGGCTTAATTGCCTGATCTCTTTCCTTCAACAGTATTTAATTCTAAAAATTTTGAGTTTTTTAAAAATATACATTTATTGGATTTCAGGTACATAGAATTGGGTTAATTCTAACCCACAGTTCATTACATACTCATTTATGGGTCCTTGCAAGAGGTTCTATTTATTTGCTTATTTGTTAATAATAAACCATAAACCTCTACCACATGAAAACTGGAATGTTGATAATAACATATCTACAATGAGTTTATTTTCAGTCCTTTCTCTCTGCCCCCCACATCCTATGTAACTACTATCCTGACCCTTATGGTTATTTCCTTTTTAAAAATAGACGACTTTTTTAGAGCAGTTTTAGCATCACAGCAAAACGGAGCTGAAGGACAGATTTCCCATATATCCTCTATCACACATACATAGCCTCCCTGATTATCAATATCCTCTATCAGCGTGGGATATCTGTCACAATTGATGAACCTGCCTACGCTGGCACATCATCACCCAAAGTCCATAATTTACATTAGGGTTTACTCTTCATGTGGTCCATTCTATGTGTTTAGACAATTTATAATGATATGTGTTCACCATCATAGTATCAGAATGATTTCACTGACCTACAGATCCTTTGTGCTCTGCCCTTTTTTTCTTTTTTAAAAAATTTAATTAAGCTCCAGGATACATTGCAGGATGTGCAGGTTTGTTACAAAGGTAAACATGTGCCATGGTGGTTTGCTGCATCTATCAACCCATCACCTAGGTATTAAGCCCAACATGCGTTATCTCTTTTCCCTAATGCTCTCCTCCCTGACCCCACCCTCCCTCAACAGGCTCCATTGTGTGTTGTTCCCCTCCCTGTGTCCATGTGTTCTCATCGTTCAGCTCCTACTTATAAGTAAGAACATGAGGTGTTTGGGTTCCTGTTCCTGCATTAGTTTGCTGAGGATAGTGACTTCCAGCTTCATCCATTTCCCTGTAAAGGATATAATCTCATTTCTTTTTATGGCTGCATAGTATTCCATGGTGTATATGTACCAGTTCTCTTCATCCAGTCTATCACTGATGGGCATTTGGGTTGATTCCATGTCTTTGCTATTGTGAATAGTGCTGCAGTGAACATATGTGTGCATATATCTTTATAATAGATTTTTTTATATTCCTTTGGGTATATGCCCAGTAATGGGATTGCTGGGTCAAATGGTATTTCTGGTTGTAGGTCTTTGAGGAATCCAATGTCCAGAATCTACAAGGAACTTAAACAAATTTACAAGGAAAAAAACAACCCCATTAAAACGTGGGCAAAGGACATGAACAGACACTTCTCAAAAGAGGACTTTTATGCAGCCAACAAACATATTTTTAAAAAGCTCAAGATCACTGATCATTGGAGAAATGAAAATCAGAGCCACAGTGATCAGATTGGCTTTTTTCACTTAGCAATAAACACTTGAGTTTCCTCCATGTCTTTTCATGGCTTGATAGTTTTTAGTGCTGAATACTATTCCAATGTCTGGATGGACCAGTGATTCTTTATCCACTTACCTGCTGGACATCTTGGTTGCGTCCAAGTTTAGGCAATTACTAATAAAGCTGTTAGAAACATCCATGTGCAGGTTTTTGTGTGGACATAAGTTTTCAACTCATTTGGATCTTGTGGTTTAGTTTTGCAAGAAACTGCCAACCTGTTTTCCAAAGTGGCTATGCCATTTTGCATTCCCATGAGCAATGAATCAGAGTTCATATTGTTCAAACTCCTTGTCAGCATTTGATGTTGTCAGTGTTCTGGGCTTTGGCCACTCTAAGAGGTTTGTAGTGGTACCTTGTTTTAATTTGCATTTTCCTGATGACATATAGTGTATTCCCTGTGCTTTTATCTTCTGAAAGACATTGTATAAAATTGGTGTAATTTCTTTCTTAAATGTCTGGCAAAACCCACCAGTGAACATACATGGGTTGGATATTTTCTGTTTTGGAAGTTTATTATTTATTTACTTACTAAAGATAAGCCTGTTCAGGTTGTATATTCTTGTGTGAGTTTTGGCAGCTTGTGTCTTTCAAGGAATTGGTCCATTTCATCTGAGTTATCAAATCTGCAGGCATAGAGTTCTTCATAATATTCCTTGATTAGCCTTTTAATGTCCATGGGATCTGCAGTGATGTCCTGTCTTTCTTTTCTGACATTAGTAATTTGTGTCCTCTTTTTTTCTTAGTTAGCCTGGCTAAAGGCTTATCAATTTTATTGTTTTTTTTTTCTTTTTCAGGGAACCATCTTTTGGTTTTGTTGATTTTTTTTTTCTATTGATTTCTTTTTAAAATTTTTATTTTTTTCCTCTTTTTTCTTTGCTTTGGATTTAATTCACTGCGTCACACAAATTTTGATAAGCTGTGCTTCTATTTTCATTTTATTCATCTTTTAATTTCTTGTTTTTTTCTTCTACTCATTTTATTTGGAAGTATGTTGTTTTATCGCCATGTGTTTTGGTATTTTTCCAGCTACATTTTTTGTTATTTCTAGTTTAATTCCATTGTCATGTGAGAGCAGACATTGTATGATTCCTGTTTTTTTAAATTTGTGAACGTGTTTTGTGGCTCAGAATGTGGTCTATCTTGGTGAATGTTCCATGTGAGCTTGAGAAGAATGTATATTCTGCTGTTGTTGGATGAAGTAGTCTATAGGTATCCATTATATACAGTTGATTGATGGCATTGTTGAGTTCAGCTATGTCCTCACTGATTTTCTGCCTGCTGGATCTGTTTATTTCTGATAGAGGGGTATTGAAGTCTTCAACTATAATAGTGGATTCATCTGTTTCTCTTCACAGTTCTATTGGTTTTTGCCTTATGTATTTTGACACTCTGATTTTAGGCACATACCTGTTAAGGATTATTATGTCTTCTTGGAGAATTGACTCCTTTGTCATTAGGTAGTGTCATTTCTTATCCCTGATAACTTTTCTTGCTCTGAAGTTTGATCTGTCTGAAATTAATATAGCTACTCCAGCTTTATTTTGCTTAGTGTTAACATAGTACATGTTTCTCCATCCATTCACTCTTTTTTTTTTTTTTTTTTTTTTTTTTAGATAGGAGTCTTGCTCTGTCACCAGGTTGGAGTGCAATGGCACCATCTCGGCTCACTGCAACCTCCGCCTCCCGGGTTCAAGGGATTCTTCTGCCTCAGCCTCCCGAGTAGCTAGAATTATAAGCACGTGCCACCATGCCTAGCTAATTTTTGTATTTTTAGTAGAGACAGGGTTTCACCATGTTGGCCAGGATGGTCTCGATGTCCTGACCTCGTGATCTGCCCACCTCGGCCTCCCAAAGTGCTGGGATTACAGGTGTGAGCCACCGTGTCTGACCCATTCACTCTTAATCTATATCTGGCTTCATATTTAAAGTGGGCTTCCTGTGCAGAACATATAGTGAGATTTTGTTTTTTGATCCACTCAGACAAACTGTCTTTTAATTGGGGCATTTAGACCATTGACATTCAAATGATTATTGATATAGTTGCATCAATAACTACCATATTTGTTACTTGTTTCTATTCGATGCCCTTTTTCTTTGTTCCTATTTTTATCTTCCATTCTTTGTCTATCTTTTGTGGTTTTAACTGAGCATTTTATGATTACATTTTCCCTCCCTGCTTAGCATAACAGTTACACTTCCTTTTTTTACGCTGTTTTTAATGGTTGCCTAGAGTATACGATATACATTGCAACTAATCCCAGTCTACTTTCAAATAACACTTATACTGCTTCATGAGTAAGGCAAGTAAGATATAATAATTTTAATTTCTCCCTTCCATCTATTGTAACATTGCTGTCATTCATTTCACACATATATACACACACACATACAAGCATATATAATCAAATGCATTATTGCTATTTTCATCTGTTGTCTGTTAGATGAATTATGAATAAGAAAAATGGTTGTATTTTATTTTCTGATGCTTTTTATGTATGAGTTTCTGACATACATAATTTTTCTTCTAAGTTTATTTTAATATTTCTTGCAAAGAAGGTCTACAAGTTATCTCAATTTTTGTTTGAGAAAGTATTTCTTCACTTTTTTATTGTGTATTTTTAAGATATGCAACATGATATTTTGATATATATAGTAAAACGATCAGCCAAATAAATTAATATATCATTCATCTAACACAGTGGCAGGAGTGTCTAAAATCTCTTAGTGAAACTTGTGACTACAATAGTATATTATTAACTATAATTCTCACGTACATTAAATCTCCTGACTTATTCATCCTATATATCTGCAACTTTATATCTTTTGACCTATATCTCCTTATATCCTCCTGCTTCCCCCAGTAATCACCATGTCATTCTCTATTTCTATGTATTCAACTTTTTAAAAAATAGATTCCACATATAAGTAAGATCATAAGATCATGCAGTTTTTTTCTTTGTTTCTGGTTTACTTCACTTAGCATAGTGTCATCCAGTCTCATCCATGTTGTGGCAAATGGGAGGATATCCTTTTTTAAGGCTGAATAATATTCCTCTCTCTTTCTCTCTCTCCCTCCCTTTCTGTGTGTGTATCTCAGTTTCTTTACCCATTCATCCATGATGAACACTTCAGTCGTTTTCGTATGTTGGCTATTGTGAACAGTGTTGCAATGAACAAAGGAGTGCAGATATCTTTACAAGGTGGTAATTTCATTTCCTTTGGGTATATACCCAGAAGAGGGATGCAGGGATTGCAGGGTCATACGTAGTTCTATTTCTGATTTCTCTGGGCAACTCCATACTGTTTTCCACAGTGGCTGCACCAATCTACATTCCCACCAACAGTGTATGAGGGTTCCCTTTTCTCTACACCTTCAACATTTGTTATCTCTCATCTTTCTTATAATAGCTATCCTAACAGGAGTGAGCTGATACCTTATTGTGGTTTTGATTTGCATTTCCCTGATTAGTGATGTTGAACACTTTTTCATATACCTGTTGGCCATTTGTATGTCATCTTTGGAAAAATTTCTGTTCCGGTCCTTTACCCATTTTTTATTCAGGTTTCTTCTATCCAATTGTATGAGGTTTTTTAAATATTAACTCCTTATTAGATATATGGTTTTCAAATATTTGCTACCAATCTGTAAGCTGCCTTTTCATTTTGTTGATTATTTCCTTTGCTGTGCTGAAACATTTTAGTTTGATGTATGCCCATCTATTTTTTATTTATTTATTTTTGCCTTTGCAGCCTGAACTTTTGGTGTGATAACCAAAATCATTAAGACCAATGTCAAGAGACTTTTCTCCTATCTTTTCTTCTAGGAGTTTTATCATATCAGGTCTTATATTTAGGTCTTTTATACATTTTGAGTTGGTTTTTGTGGATGGTGTAAGATACATGTCCAGTTTCATTCTTTTGCATGTGGATATACCATTTCTCCAGCACTATTTATTGAAGAGACTATCCTTTCTCTATTGTGTCTTGGTTCTCTCTAACTTTTGAAGGGTAATTTCCCAGAATTATCTCAAAACTTTAAATATTTTATTCAAACTTTCATGATTTCTGAGGAGAAGTTGAATGTAATTCTCATCATTGCTCCAAGTGAGGGTTTTCCACCTCCTGGCTGCTTTCAGGCATTTTTTTTTTTTTTTTTTTAGATGGGATTTCTCTCTTGTCGCCCAGGCTGGAGTGCAGTGGCATGATCTCGGCTCACTGCAACCTCCGCCTCCCGGATTCAAGTGATTCTCCTGCCTCAGCCTCCTGAGTAGCTGGGACTACAGATGCCTGCCACCACTCCTGGCTAAAGTTTGTATTTTTTTGGTAGAGACAGAGGTTTCACCATGTTGGCCAGGCTAGTCTCAAACTCCTGACCTCAGGTGATCCACCAGCCTCGGCCTCCCAAAGTGCTGGGATTACAGGCGTGAGCCACTGTGCCCGGACAGGCTTTTTTCTTTATCTCTGATTGTCTATGGTTTGAAAGTGTTATGCGTTGGTGTACTTTTTTGGCATTTATCCTGCTTGGTGCTCTCTAAGCTTCCTGTATCTGCGATCTGGTGTCTGACATTGATTTGGGAAAATTCTCTCAGTGTTTCAAATATTACTTCTACTTCTTTTTTTCTTTCTTTCCCTAGTATTCCCATTTTGCACATATTATATCTTTGC
The DNA here is from genome assembly GCF_000001405.40 of Homo sapiens. Taxonomy (NCBI): domain Eukaryota; kingdom Metazoa; phylum Chordata; class Mammalia; order Primates; family Hominidae; genus Homo; species Homo sapiens. The sequence goes on from NC_000003.12 coordinate 130,545,979, forward strand.
TAGTTGCTCCACAATTATCGGAGATTCCAGGGTTTTTTGGTCATTTTTCTGTTTTTCAGTTTTGGAAGTTTCTATTGAGCTAGTCTCAATCTCAGACATTCATTCCTCAGTCATGTTGTGTCCAAAATTCATGGGTTCTTGGTCTCACTGACTTCAAGAATGAAGCCCCGGACCCTCGCGGTGAGTGTTACAGTTCTTAAAGATGGTGTGTCCGGAGTTTGTTCCTTCTGACGTTCGGATGTGTTTGGAGTTTTTTCCTTCTGGTGGGTTTGTGGTCTCGCTGGCTTCAGGAGTGAAGCTGCAGACCTTCGCGATGAGTGTTACAGCTCTTAAGGTGGTGCGTCCGGAGTTGTTCATTCCTCCCAGTGGGTTCGTGGTCTCGCTGGCCTCAGGAGTGAAGCTGCAGATCTTCGAGGTGAGTGTTTACAGCTCATAAAGGCAGTGCAGACCCAAAGAGTGAGCAGCAGCAAGATTTATTGCAAAGAACAAAAGAACAAAGCTTTCACAGCATGGAAGAGGACCTAAGCAGGTTACCTTTGCTGGCTCAGGCAGCCTGCGTTTATTCCCTTATCTGACCCCACCCACATCCTGCTGATTGGCCCATTTTACAGAGAGCTGATTGGTCCATTTTACAGAGAGCTAATTGATCCATTTTGACAGGGTGCTGATTGGTGCATTTACAATCCTCTAGCTAGACATAAAAGTTCTCCAAGTCGTCACCAGATTAACTAGACACAGAGCACCGACTGGTGCGTTTACAAACCTTGAGCTAGACACAGGATGCTGATTGGTGCATTTACAAACCTTGAGCTAGACACAGAGTGCTGATTGGTGTATTTACAATCCTTTAGCTAGACACAAAAGTTCTTCAAGTCCCCACTAGATTAGCTAGACACAGAGCACTGATTGGTGCATTTACAAACCTTATGCTAGACAGAGTGCTGATTGGTGCATCTACAATCCTCCAGCTAGACATAAAAGTTCTCCAAGTCCCCACCCAACTCAGGAGCCCAGCTGGCTTCCCCTAGTGGATCCTGCATGGGGGCAGCAGGTGGAGCTGCCCGCCAGTCCTGCGCGGCCTGCCTGCACTCCTCAGCCCTTGGGCGGTTGATGCGACCTGGCGCCACAGAGCAGGGGGCGACGCCCATCTGGGAGGTTTGGGCCACGAGGCAGCCGACTGCGGAGGGGCTCGGGCATGGCAGGCTGCAGGTCCCGAGCCATGCCCCGCAGGGAGGTGGCTGAGGCCCAGGGAGAATTCAAGCGTGGCAAGAGTGGGCTGGCACTGCTGGGGGACCCAGCGCCCCCTCTGCAGCTGCTGGCCCAGGTGCTAAGCCCCTCACTGCTCAGGGCTGGTGGCACCTGCCAGCCACTCCAAGTGCGGGGGCCCGCTGAGGCGGCACCCACTGGGAACTCGCACTGGCCTGCAAGCACTGCACACAGCCCTTGGTTCTGGCCTGTGCCTCTCCCTCCACACCTCCCTGCAAGCAGAGGGAGCCGGCTCCGGCCTTGGCCAGCCTAGAGAGGGGCTCCTATAGTGCAGTGGCGGGCTGAAGGGCTCCTCAAGCGTGGCCAGAGCAGATGCCGAGGCCGAGGAGGGGCTGAGAACGAGTGAGGGCCGCCAGCATGTTGTCACCTCTCAATGTGTCTGGCCTGCCCATAAGCTCATCACAGGCGTTCATGATCTGTTATGATGTTTTGATGTCTAGTATTTCTTTTGGGTTCTTAGAATTTCCATCTCTCTACTTACATTGGCCATCTGTTATTGTGTGCTGTCTACTTTATCCATAAGAGCCATTAGCATATTAATCCTAGTTGTTTTATTTATTTATTTATTTTTGAGAGGGAGTCTCGCTCTGTCACCCAGGCTGGAGGGCAGCGGTGCCGTCTCGGCTCGCTGCAACCTTCGCCTCCCGGGTTCAAGTGATTCTCCCACCTCAGCCTCCCGAGTAGCTGGCACTACAGGCACCTGCCATCATGTCTGACTAAATTTTGTATTTTGAGATGGGGTTTCACCATGTTGGCCAGGCTGGTCTTGAACTCCTCACTTCAGGTGATCCGCCTGCCTTGGCCTCCCAAAGTGCTGGGATTACAGGCATGAGCCACTGTGCCCGGCCAATCCTAGTTGTTTTAAATCCTAGTATGATAATTCCAACATCCCTGCCATGTCTGAGTCTGGTTCTGATGTTTGCTATGTCTTCTCAAACTTTTTTTTAACGTTTTAGAAAGTCTTGTAATTTTTTCCTGGTAGCTGGATGCAATGTGCTGGGTAAAAGGAACTGCAGTCAATAGGCCTTTGGTAATGTGGTGGTAAGGAGAGGAAGTGTTGCATAGTTCTATGAGCAGGCCTCAGTCTTTTAGTTAGCCTGTGTTTTTTGGACTATGAATTCCACAAGTGCTTCTCAGGCCCCTGTCCCACCTTGGTGAGACTGGATGGCTAGAGTGGGCTGGAGATGGGTGTTTTCCTTCTCCCACATGCAAATCTAAAGGGGGTTGGAGTTGGATATTTCTTCCTCCAGGTCAGTTAAGCTCTGATAAAACCCCAGCTGGTTAGGATCTCCTTAACTACTTTCCCCTGAGGGCAGTACTTGTTAAGAAGAGCAAAGTGCTCTGGCATATTTCAAAGTGGCTCCTAATTGTCTCCTTCTGCCAGAAGCATGAGGGTTTTTCTCTCCAGTATTCACTGTGAGTTCCCAGTAGAGCACCAGGAGGTAAACTCACAAAAGTGGGTTCTCTACGCCTGGAGTTTTTATTTCTCAGACTTGTACACTCTAAGTCTCCTGCAGTTTGTCAATTGCAGTTCAGGTTTTCCTACCCCAGCATGGGTTCACACAGATGGTTTAGTTCATGGATTTCTTTTCTGGTAAGTTGTGATTCTCTGTATTTGCCTGTTAGTCTCTCCAATGGGGGCAGGGGTTTGTCCTGTGACCTTTCTTGTGTTACAGATCTAAGAAAAATAGTTGATTTTTCAGTTTGTTCAGCTTTTTACTTGTTAGGATGGCACGATGACCTCCAAGCTTCTTATATGCTAGGCTGGAAACCATCCCTTTGATTTTTAAAATATAATTTTATCGCATTTATACTCCTTTAAACCTATATTAACTTTAGTTGTTTCTAATGCTATAAAAAGGATATTATGCTCTATGTAGTTTTCTGGGATTCATGTTTTCGCTCTTTATATTGCTAAGATTCATTCATATTTTTGTTTTTTTGAGACAAGGTCTCACTTTGTCATCCAGGCTAGAGTACAGTGGCATGATCATGGCTCACTGCAGCCTTGACCTCCTGGGCACAAGTACTTCTTCCACCTCAGCCTTTTGAGAAGCTTGTGCCACCCTATCTGGCCACTTTTAAAAATTTCTTATAGAGATAGGCTCTCACTATGTTGCTCAGGCTGGCCTCAAACTCTTCAGTTTAATTGGGTCTCATTTGTCAATTTTTGGTTTTGTTGCAATTGCTTTTCATGTCTTTGTCATGAAATCTTTGCTAGGTCCCATGTCCAGAATAGTATTTCCTAGGTTATCTTCCAGGGTTTTTGTACTTGAGGGTTTTACATTTCAGTTTTTTAAATCCATCTTGGATTGTTTTTTTTTGTATATCGTGTAAGGAAGGGGTCCAGTTTCAATCTTCTGCATATGGCTAACCAGTTATTCCAGCATTATTTAATAGGGAGTCTTTTCCCTATTGCTTGTTTTTGTCAGCTTTGTCAAAGATCAGATGGTTGTAGGTGTGCAGCCTTATGTCTGGGCTCTATTCGGTTCCATTGGTCTGTGTGTCTGCTTTTGTACGAGTACCATGCTGTTTTGGTTACTGTAGCCTTGTAGTATAGTTTGAAGTCAGGTAATGTGATGCCTCCAGCTTTGTTTAGGATTGCCTTGGCTATTTAGGCTCTTTTTTGGTTCCATCTAAATTTTAAAGTAGTTTCTTTTCCTCATTCTCTGAAGAATATCATTGCTAGTTTGATAGGAATACCATTGAATGTATTTCCATTTGTTTGTGTCATCTCTGATTTATTTGAGCAGCGTTTCAGAAGTCTCATTGTAGAGATCTTTCACCTCCCTGATGAGATGGTATTTTATTCTTTTTGTGGCTAATGCGAGTGGGATCATGTTCTTGATTTGGCTCTCATCTTGGATGCTGTTAGTATATAGGAATGCTACTGATTCTTGTACATTGATTTTTTTTATCCTGAAACTTTGCTGAAGTTGTTAATTAGATCAAGAAGCTTTTGGGCAGGCACTGTAGAATTTTCTAGTTATAGAATCATATTGTCTGCAAACAGGGAAAATTCAACTTCCTCTTATTTGAATGCTTTTTATTTCTTTCTCTTGCCTGGTTGTTCTGGCCAGGACTTCCAGTACCATGTTGAATTGAAGTGATGAGAGAGACCATCCTTGTTTTGTTCTGGTTTTCAAGGGGAATGCTTCCAGCTTTCCCCATTCAGTATGATGTTGGCTATGGGTTTGTCATAGATGGCTCTGTGTTAGTTCGTTTCCATGCTGCTGATAAAGACATGCCTGAGACTGGGCAGAAAAAGAGGTTTAATTGCACTTACAGTTCCACATGGCTGGGGAGGCCTCAGAATCATGGATGGAGGTGAAAGGCACTTCTTGCATGGCAGCAGCAAGAGAAAATGAGGAAGAAGCAGAAGCAGAACCCCCTCATAAACCCATTAGATCTTGTGAGACTTATTCACTATCACAAGAATAGCAAGGGAAAGACCAGCCCCAAGATTAAATTACCTCCCCCTGGGTCCCTCCCACAACATGTGGGAATTCTGGAAGATAAAATTCAAGTTGAGATTTTGGTGGTGACACAGCCAAACCATATCAGGCTCTTATTATTTTGTAGTACATTCCTTCAATCCCCAGTTTGTTGAGGGTTTTTAACATGAAGGGATGTTGAATTTTATCAAAAGCCTTTCTCCATCTATTGAGATAATCATGTGGTTTTTGTTTTTAGTTCTGTTTGTGTGATGAATCACATTTATTGATTTGTGTGAGTTGAACCAACTTGCATCCCAGAGATAAAGTCCACTTGATCATCATGGTGGATTAGCTTTTTCATGTGCTGCTGGATTCAGTTTGCTAGTATTTTGTTGACAATTTTTACATCTACATTCATCAAGGATCTTGGCCTGAAGCTTTTTTTTTTTCTGTGTGTGTGTATGTCTTTCAGGTTTTGGTATCAGGGTGATGCTGGCATCACAGAATGAGTTAGGGAGGAGTCCCTCCACCTCAAGTTTTAGAAATAGTTTCAGTAGGAATAGTATCAGCTCTTCTTTATACAGCTGGTAGAATTTAGCTTTGAATCCACCTGGTCCTGTGCATTTTTTGGTTGGTAGGCTTATTATTGATTCAATTTCAGAATTTGTTATTGATCTGTTCAGGAATTCAATTTCTTCCTGATTCACTCTTGGGAAGATTGTATGTGTCCAGGATTTATCTGTTTCTTCTAGATTTTCTAGTTTGTGTTCATAGAGCTGTTCATAGGAATCGGAGTTTTTTGTATTTCTATGGGGTTAGTGGTAATGCCCACGTTTTCATGTCTAGTTGTGTTTATTTGGATCTTCTCTCTTGTTTTCTGTATTAGTCTAGCTAACATCTCTTATTAATTTTTTTCAAAGAACCAACCCTGGATTTGTTGATCTTTTGGGTTTTTTTTTTTTTTTCACATCTCCATTTTCTTCATTTCAGCTCTGATTTTGGTTATTTCTTCTGCTAGCTTTGGGTTCAGTTTGCTCTTGGTTCTCTAGTTCCTCTAGTTGTGATAATAGATTGTTAATTTGAGATATTTCTAAGTTTTTGATGTGGGTGTTTAGTGCTATAAACCTCCCTCTTAACACTGCTTTAGCTGTATCCCAGAGATTCTGGTATGTTATATCTTTGTTCTCATTAGTTTCAAAGATCTTCTTAATTTCTGCCTTAATTTCATTATTTACCCAAAAGTCATTCAGGAGCAGGTTGTTTAATTTCCATGTAATTGTTTGGTTTTGAGTGATCAGTATTGATTTCTATTTTTATTGCATCATGGTATGAGAGTGTGGTTGGTGTGATTTTAGTTTTTTAATTTGAGGATTATTTATGTCTGGTTGATTTTAGAGTATGTGCCATGTGGTGATGAAAATAATGTATATTCTATTGCTTTTGGCTGGAGAGTTCTATGTATGTCTATTAGATCCATTTGGTCCAGTGTCTAGTTCAAGTCCGGAATATTTTTGTTTTCTGCTTCAATGATCTGTCTAATACTGGCAGTGGGTCATTGAAGTCTCCTACTATTATTGCGTGGCTATCTAAATCTCTTCATAGGTCTCTGGGAACTTGCTTAGTGAATCTGGGCGCTGCTGTTTTGGGTGCATACCTATTTAGGATAGTTAGATGTTCTTGTTGATGTGAGCCTGTTACTATTATGTAATGTCCTTTGTCTTTTTTTTATCTTTGTTGGTTTAAAGTCTGTTTTGTCTAAAATTAGAATAGCAAGACCTCCTTTTTTTCTCATTTCTGTTGGCTTGCTATATTTTCCTTCATGCCTTTACTTTGAGCCTATAGGTGTCATTGCATGTGAGATAGGTCTCTTGAAGACAGCATACTATTAGGTTGGATTAAGTTGGGTCTTAATCCAACTTGCCACTCTCTGCCTTTTAATTGGGGGCATTTAGCCTGTTTACATTCAAGATTAGTATTCATATGTGCGAATTTCATCCTGTCATCGTGTTGTTAACTTAACCCTGGTTATTATGCAGACTTGTTTGTGTGGTTGCTGGTGTCACTGGTTTATGTACTTCAGTGTGTTTTTGTGGTAGCCAGTAATGGTCTTTCCTTTCTATATGTAGCAGTCTTTTAAGGACCGTCTCTCTTAAGGCAGGTCTGGTAATAATGAATTTCCTTAGCACTTGCTTGTCTGAAAGGGACCTTATTTCTCCTTTATGAAGATTCATTTAACTGAATATGAAATTCTTGGTTGGAAATTCTTTAAGAATGCTGAATAATATAGGCCTCCAATCTCTTCTGGTTTGTAGGGTTTCTGCTGAAACATCTGCTGTTAGCCTGGTGGGTTCCCTTTGTACATGACCTGCCCCTTTTCACTAGCTGCCTTTAACATTTTTTTTCTTTCATTTTGACCTGGGAGGATCTGATGACTATGTGTCTTGGGGATGGCCATCTTGTGTAGTATTTCCCAGGGGTTCTCTACGTTTCCTGAATTTGAACGTTGGCCTCTCTAGCCAGGTTGGGGAAACTTTCATGGATGACATCCTGAAAAATATTTTCCAAGTTGTTTGTTTGCTTTCTTTCTCTTTCAGGAATGCCAATGAGTCATAGATTGGTCTCTGTACATAATTCCATATTTCTCTAGGGTTTTGGGTTTTGTTAATTCTTCTTCTTTGTTTTTTCTTTATTTTTGTCTGACTGGGTTATTTGGGAGAAGTGGTCTTTGAGATTCTTTCCTCAGCATGGTTGATTCTGCTGTTAATACTTGGGATTGTATTCTGAAATTCCTAAAGTGAGTTTTTCAGCTCTATCAGATCAGTTTGGTTCTTTTTTAAAATGACCATTTCTTCTTTCATCTCCTGTATCATTTTATTGTATTACTTAGAATCCTTGGATTTGATTTTGACTCTCTCTCTGAATCTTGATGATCTTCATTCCTATCCATACTCTGGGTTTTTTTTTTCTGCCATTTCAGCCAGTTTCAATCTGGGTAAGAACCATTGCTGAGGAACTGGTATGGTCATTTGGAGGTAAGAAGACACTCTGGTTTTTTGAGTTGCCAGAGTTCTTGCACTGATTCTTTCTCATCTTTATGGGCTGATGTTCTTTGAATCCTTGAAGTTGCTGTCCTTTGAATGGGTGTTGCGGTGGGTTTTTTTTGTGTTTTTTTTTGTTTTGTTTTGTTTTGTTTTTTTGCTTTCATCTTTGATGTCCTTGGGAGTTTGATTGTGGTATAAGAATGGTTGTATTGACTGGCATCATTTCTGGAAGATTCTAGGGGGCCAAGCCCCAGCTTAGCACTGCTGGACTGCATGCTCTAACTCTGTGGATCTGTTATCAGGCCCCTGGCGTTGTTCTCTGGCCCCTTGAGGTTAGGAACCTACTGTGCTGAAGGGGCCAATGTGTCCCTGGACTGCTGGACACAACACACTAGTGGGTAGTGCTAGCCAAAGTGCTTTGTTGGATGGTGGCAGCAAGCTCTGTGCAGTTTTGCATGTGGCACCAGCAGCAATAATGCATTGGAGTGCACATTTCTTGGCTGGTATAGGGGTGCCAGCTCTTGTGCAGGTATTCATAATAGTGGCAGCACAAGATGGAGTGGGGCTGCTGGCATTCATGTGTGCTTTCACAGTGGCAATGGTGTTGACATGGGGGTGGGCTGCTGGCTGGTGCAGACGTGCTGACCTCCATCTAGGCATTCATGAAAGTGGTGGTGCTGGGAGGTGGAGGTGCTGGTGTTTCTGTACACGTTCACACTGGCAGTGGTGTCAGTCTGGGAATGGGGTGCTGGTGGGCACGAGGCTGGTGGCCTCTGTGTGCATATTCACATTGGGTGGCAATGCAGAGCCACTGGTCTCCCTGTGTGTGTTCATGCAGATGGCAGTGGCAACGGTGGGGCAGGGGAGCCACTGGTCTCCATGCACTCATTCATGCTGGCATTGGAGGTGTGGTGGAGGGATCACAGGGTGCACTCACACTGGCAGCAGTCACACCATAAGGTGTACACATCCACCTGTGGAGAAGGGGAGGTGAGGTCTTCTCATGTGCATGCATGTTGGCAAAGTGATGCAGGGGGTGGCCATGGGTGAGTGTTCACTGGTAAAGAAAGCAACATGGGAGGCTGCAGTGGGGGAGGGGAACATGTCAGTGAGCTAGTGTATATTGGCAGGGACTGCTCTGCTGGAGCACTCTGAGGGTCAGGCACAGTCGGCCAGCATAGGAGCTATGACGTGGGCCCCTGAGAGGTACCTCAGTTGAGGTACCCCAGTTGGGCAGCCAGGCTGGGGCCCCAGAAGAGGCCAGCAGACAGGGCAGCACTCAGGTCAGACTGGCTCCATCTCATGGACAATGTTGCCGTACTCTGTTCAGGTCCAACAGTTCCTCTAAGGCAGGGTGAGCTTTAGGGCGTGGGCATTCTGGCCACGCTCCACTGCATATGTTCCCACACCAAACTCTTTGGGCTCTGCATAGGCTGGAGTCCTGCCCCTACCACCTCTCTAAGCAGCTTTCTCTGCCATTTCCAGTGTCGATTTTGGGGTCTCATGCTTCCAGGATTCCAGAAGTCTGTAATGAGAGCAAGTTGCTCCTCACCTGTTGAACTCACCCCTTCCCCAGGAGTCACTGGGTGCCAGGAACAAGACCTGGTGTGTGGTAGTCCCATGCGTGGTTCCCAGCTTCCTCCCTCTTCAGCCCCAGATCTGTGTCCTCCCTCTGTCCATTCTCAATGCCTTTGCTCTGAAGGTCTGAGAGTGTGTCAGTCTCCCCAGTGTCCCAGTCCCTTGCTAACAAATGATCCCCTGGCTACGGCTAGTCTGCCATCTTGCCCCCTGTCCCTGTTCTTTTTTTTCAATCTTTGTGGCTTTAAATTCATTAGCACCTAGGAATAAGAGTGGATCACCTTTTCCTTTTCCTAATTTTAAAGAGAATACTTTTAACATTTCCCCATTAGGATGATATGTATTCCAGATTTTTAAAATATATCTTCTGTTAGGTTAAGTAAGTTTCCTTCTACTCCTAATTTGCTAAGTTTTTCTTTAAAATCATGAATTGAATGATGGGTGTTTTTTGGTTTTTTTTGTGGGGTTTTAAAAATATTTATAGTTTATTATTTAAGCTATTAATGTGCGTTACATTTATGTATTTCTTAATTTTAAAACATCTTTACATTTCTGAGAAACTCAACTTGATAGTGGTGTATTAACTTTTTTGTTATAAGTTTAAGGGATACAAATGCAGTTTTTTTTTAAGTGGATATACTGTGTAGTGGTGAAATCTGGGCTTTTAGTGTGACCATCAACCAAGTAGTGTACATTGTACCCATTAAGCAGTTTCTCATCCCTCACTCCCCTGCAACCCTCCTGCCCTTCTCAGTCTTCAGGGACTATTATTCCATACTCTGTGTCCATGGGTACACTCTATTTAGCTCCTACTTGCAAGTGAGAACACACAGTGGTTAGCTTTCTGATTCTGAGTTGTTTCACTTAAGATAATGGCCTACCGTTCCATCCATGTTGCTGCAAAAGGCATGATTTTTATATACTGTGGGAGTTAATTTTCTAATGTCTTGTTTAGGATTTTTTAATATTTATCTTCATGAGTGAAATGGGCCTTTAATTTTCCTTTCTCATATTGTCCTTGTTTGATTTATATATCAGGATTATACTGGCCCTATACAAATAAGATGGCTGATATTCCTTTATTTTCTGCTCTCTAAAATACTTTATAAAAGATTCAGATAATCTGTTTCTTGAAAGGTTGGTGGAACTTTCCAAAGGCCTGGTGTTTACTTTCTGTGAATATTTTTAACTACAATTTCTTTAAAATACTTTCCTTATCCTTAGTTGTATCTCCTTTTTCATTTATATGATTATCTATTTGCATTTTCTCTTTTTATTATTGATCAGTCTGTTCTGAGATTTTTCTTTTCAAAGATTAATTTTCTTTTTGAGTTTGATTTCTGCTTTAATTTTTAGTATTGTAGTATCTATTTCTTAGATTTATTCTTTTTTTCTAATTTCTGTGTTGGGCACATAATTTCTAGTGGATTCTTTGCACTATTAAAATTTTAGTCCCCTGAAGTTCATGTAGATGGGTGAATCCTGAAGGATTCCAACAAGTTTTGACCCAGAAAGGATCAGCGCTGAAGACATGCTCCCTCCCTTGCTACTGCCAGCCCTTCCCACAGAGGGCCTGCCATAGGTGGTCATCTGAGGGGCAGTTTTCTCCAGGGGATGGTTTCAAAACAGGCGTTCAGTGTTCAAATGTGCTCTTGGCTTAATTATTCATATTTTTATTTATTTTACTTGTATTTGTTAGGTCAGAAAACTGTTAAGGTGTGGAACTGCTTGGACTGAGAGAGACTGTAATCCCTTATGCTTGAGATTAGGAACCTAGGTGATGGTGTTTAAGGTCACACGGCAGTTTAGGAATGGAGCTGGACCCAGGCCATGACACCTTATAGCCTGTGCACTTTTCACTCAGCCAAACACCTCCTCTACACAGGAGAGTATCATTTTATAAAGTGGCAAGTTCACCTGCATGACCCTGTTCAAATATGATTAACATACAAAGCTCCTTTTTGTAATTCCAGAAAATGCAACTGGGGGAAAGTAAAAACTGTGCAACTTGCTTGTACCACAAGTGCTTTTGTTTTGTTTTTCTCACCAGCATTTATTCAATATTTGTCTGTGCCTATTGCGTGCCAAGGATTTATCCTGCAGCATTTTAACATGAACTTAAGGCTCACTCTGAATATTTTTCTTTTTACTTTTTGACTTCAGAGTAGAATGGCTTGCAGAAAGGAAATAATGAAGACATCAGGGGTTAAATAAGCAAATGATCATTTATCTTTAACACTGTGGCAGAGACCCAATGTTGTTTCTTACAGTAAAACAGTGATAATCTTGTTTCTGAAGAAAAATAAAATCAGTACTTAAAAATGATGTATCCTGCATACCTTATTTTAAAGGAAGAATATTTATCTTAATTTTGCTGAAGTCTCTTTTGTTTCCCTTATGGGCTCTTAGTACCTTTTTTCAGAGATAGGACTTGGATTATGAATTGGTTTGTATGGAGCAGAAGTTTCTCTGAGACTCCGCGTTCTTAATAGCCCCAAGAGGTGTTGTACAAGTTCTAAACATTCTGGGTTTGAAGCCAAGTCTTGGGTGGCTGTGTTGCTTTGCAGCTGTAGTTTAAATTAGAAACATTCTAGTTTACAGAGATCTAGATTTTTTAAAAAGACCTTTATAGCATATAAAGAGAAAGTATTAGCCTCAGCTTACTTGATTCAGAATGAATTGAATGCAAAACATATTCAGATTAAAGAGACATGTACCTTTGAGAGTGTTTATAATGAGAGGCAATTAATCTCACTGTTAAGATAGAGCTTACTATGAATTTAAATTTTATGTTGATTGCTTTAAATAAACCTCACCTTCATTCTCCCCTCACTTGTCTTCAGGTGATCGGTTATGTTTGTTTATAATGTAAGTATGAAAATCCTGGTCATAACTGGTAATAGAACAACATACAGATTGCAGGCACTTCATCTGTGTTTTGATACAGTGTAAATGAGCCCATTCTCCCTACCTCCCGAGCATGACCTTGGAGGTTTGGTCCTACAGCTTGCCTTATCATACACCACCCACCCCATGCACACACAAAGTCAGGCACACACACCTCAAGAACGCTTCACCGGGCTTCAACATTGTATAGCCTTACAGCACACTAGACTTTGGATTCCATTGAAAGACTGCAAGAAAATTGTTCCACAAGATGCTAATCCAGAGAACTTAACTTTTGAGTAAATACTAGAGGTATTGATTGACATCTGCATATGGAAATTTCCAGATGCTGCATGCTGCTTTGGGACTATTGTAGCCTTTCCAAATCCTCGCTTCTCTGTCCAGATGTTCATCCTTCACTCAATACCGATTTCTTCCCATTGTGACTGTTTGCAAACTTTTGACATTGGCCCTATGGATTCTTCCCAAAGCATTTTCTCTCTCATAACTCCAAAAGACTACAATAATTTATAAAGCTCATAATATAAACAGAAAGGAAGAAAATAGTGTAAAACCCTGGTTTTATAAGCAAAAATAAAAAGGTATGAAAACAAGTACCAAAGTCTCTTAGTTCTTAGAAAAAAGATGTAGAATGAAGAAACTAGAAGACATTTTGTGTTCATAACATTGAGTTTAATCTGCAGGGTAACTGAGTTTTAAAGGTTTTGGAGTCAGGCAGATGTGGGTTCTAGTCTAAATTGTGGCTCACTTTACCAATGTGACCTTGCATCAGTTACTTCCCCTTAAAAGTCTGTTTCCTCATTTGCAAAATAAGAACAAGAATAGTAATAATACCTGCTGCTAGAGTTGTTACCAATATCAAACAGGAGAACAAATGTAAAGCTGTTGGCACAGGGCAGGGCTCATAGTGAAAGCTCAACAAATGGCAGAATTTATTATTTATTGTTATACACATTAATAAAAATTGTACAGATGGTATGACTTGGTTTTCACTTCGGGAAATCCACTTTGGGACTTAGTTTCTCTAAAATGAAAAGGTTTGTACTACACATTGCCTCCTGACATCTTTTTCTAGCTCACTGGTTACAACTTGAATAGAACTAATAAATTTATATACAGACTGAAAACTCTACATCGTCTAGACTTGTGAAGGACTAGAAGAGAGTCTCAAGTTGCAGAATGTCAGAAGGACAGTGATGTAGGTGAGGAAACAGGGATGGAACTTCTCATGATAAATGTCCCTTTTCTGAAGAGATTGAATATTAGAAACTCAGAGCCTGCCTGGTATAGGGTGAGATAAACATATATAGTGTTGCACAATTAAGCAGGACATGGAGACACTGGTTTATTAATGGATCAATTCATTTTTTGTTCAATTAATAAATGAGCAAAAAATAAGCCCAACCTGCTTCATTAAATATTTATTTTCAATGCATTTAATATCCTGCTTCATTCCATAAAATGAACATTTCAAGGTGGCTGAAAATGCTTTAGGCCAAAATGAGATTGGAAAACCCTTGCCTCATGCAGTTCTGGGAAGTTGGACATAAAATGGTGTAAGCTGAGCTCCTTATTCTGAGGAGCAAGACATTATATGGAATATGGAAAATCACTGCTTGTTTTGAAATAGCTACTGTTTCAGTTAGGGAGGAAAAGGAAAAAACGTGTAATTTTGATCACATCTAAAAATAATTAGTCTTCAAAGATAAAGTACACCTACATATTCATGATGGCGAGATTATGAAATAGGTCTTGGGGTGTGTCCTAACTGTGAACCCTGAATTGTCTTAGCAATGAATAGATAGAGGATGGCGCTAGGGTACAGGAAAATAAATACTAGGAACGCGTAATATTGTTAGCACTAAAATCCATCTGGCTCCTTCTACCAACTGTCCAAAATTTCATGTTTCTACTAGGTCTGGGGACAAGAAAAACTCTTACGACTTTGTAAATATTGATGGATTGTTTTCTCTAAGGCATTTCACATATTAGAAGGTCAGTGAACCTCAGAAATTCCTTGTCCCCTGTTACACCCAATTTATTATATAATTTTGTATGCTCTTGTATGTGAGTCTTAATTCCCAAATAATATCCACAACAATTTGTTTATATTTTTGCCTTTTCAGATTTGAAGTTGAAGATTTTTCAGGTCATAATATGATGTTGCTAATTTTGTTCCTCGTGATAATTTGTTCCCATATTTCTGTGAACCAAGATTCCGGTAAGGAAAAACTGGAAAGAATTCTTAATTTTGATTATAGAAAATAGATAATACATGAGTTTGACCTATTTAAAAGTTACAAGTTTTGTATCACTTTGTTTTGATTTTGATGGTAGTGAGATTAAGGGCGGTAAGTCAAATTCTTTGTAAGGTCACTCCATATTCCTTTGAAGATCATTTGTTTCTGGATCTTATTCCTTGTTAATAATAGATATGAGAGCTGTCATTTTGTCCTGCTTCAACCCCTTTTAGGTCTTCTGGGAGGTTGCATAAAAATTCTGTTAATATTAGGCTCAGGCCTGGAAAACTTGGAATGTCCCATCCTAATTCATTTGTGTCAAAAGGGTATCTTGGTTTAGTGTCCAGATTTGCTCCAGATTAAATTATTTGGCTGCTTATTGTGAAGAAAGTGCTTTTTCCCTGGAGAGAAAGCTTCATAGCACTGCCTTCTGTCTGTTGGCAATCTCTGTCCTGTGGACTTAAGACACTAGCACACCCTTAACCACCTCACCATCTCCTAAATAATTGGTTCTTGTCCAGAGCAACTTACATTGGCTTTTACAACTTCCTCGAGGACACTGACCTTGTAAGCAAGTTTTGTGAAGACATAAACCAGACTTTGCCCTGCAAACATCTTCCTTTGATGTATCTCTAAGCCTTGAGCTTCTCAAGTAGAAGCCATGATTTTTCCTCCATTGTTTCATGGTTCAGACGTAGTGATGGACCTTATCAGAACCTGAGTCCGCCTTATGTGCCACTCATCTACATTTCCTTTCTCCACAAAAGATGTAGGGCTTCATTCATGAATAGAAAGTCACTGGTGGTCACAAATCAAGCCACCCACGGCAGGGCTCCCCTGGCAGTCTTCACAGGGTTTCAGGCTTCTTTGGGAGGAAGGTGTTGATACACTCTCACTTATTTCTTCCCCTGAGATGCTGCTGGCTGTATAATCATGAAAAGAATCTCAGAGTGGTTAGATTTGGGTTATTTAAAAGACAAGAAATTATTTTACCCATTATGCCTCGATCAGATGGCCATAAAAGGAATGAAATAACACACAGGTCTGCCAAAGCTGGTTTCCCAGCCAGTGTAGAAAGGAAAAGATTGAAGTTATTCTAATTTGATTAGAACTTACCTAGTAACCATTTTAGATAATTGGAATCTCAGAGTGAGGAGGTACCTTAGATGTTTTCTAGTTGAATCTACTTTTTTTTTTTTTTTTTTTTTTTTTTTTTGAGACGGAGTCTCGCTCTGTCGCCCAGGCCAGACTGCGGACTGCAGTGGCGCAATCTCGGCTCACTGCAAGCTCCGCTTCCCGGGTTCACGCCATTCTCCTGCCTCAGCCTCCCGAGTAGCTGGGACTACAGGCGCCCGCCACCGCGCCCGGCTAATTTTTTGTATTTTTAGTAGAGACGGGGTTTCACCTTGTTAGCCAGGATGGTCTCGATCTCCTGACCTCATGATCCACCCGCCTCGGCCTCCCAAAGTGCTGGGATTACAGGCGTGAGCCACCGCGCCCGGCTGAATCTACTTATTTTAAAGAAGAAAAAACTAAGGCCCAAGTGTATTGAATGTCTTGACAGAGCTCATAGAGTTAGCTGAAGGTAAAGTCAGGGTGTTCATGACTTGTTCCATTATGCTGTATTTCCTTAAACATACACCACACATATACTTCCCTCCCTACCCCAGACAAGAAATGGATCTTATGCTAAGGTAGAGAGAGCTCTGAGTTCAAACCAGCAGACCATTACTAAACAACAGTTAGTGTTTGAATCCAATGATTCTATATCATGTAAAAATGTAGTACCAGATAAGTAGTGTTGAATCTAACAATGAATGAAGCTTTAAAGGTTAAGCAAAGTATTACATTCCTATATAAAACTTATATTTTTAATGGAAACTAAAACTAGAATCCCTTTTCTAGCCCAAGATACATTGGTGCCATCACATTTTGCATGTGTGAGAATAAAATTCACCAATTATAATATAATGCTCATTCATGTAATTCATCAAAAATATTAAGATATTTAAAATAACCTTGAAAAAGATTGACTATTCCATATTTTTATGATTTATAGATTTTTTTAAACTTAATGTGACTGTTTGGAATGTACAACTTATATGGTTTTAAGTTAATCAGATAAACTGTTGTGTTGCTTAAATGAGAAAGGCCATCTTTCAGATTTTACCATTAAAGTGAATTTGATGGAGTTTGAGTTTCAATTAAAATTTTTATCTAGTTGACATAGTTGAAATCAAATTCCAAAAGCCAAAAAAACTACAAGAGGAAATTATCCACAAAAGGTATAAAACCCATGATTTTTTATTTCTCTGTTTATTTCTGTTTTATTTTTCCAGTCACTATTGTTAATCACTATTTCTAATTAACCAATTCCTTGCAAAAGTTATGTTTAATTTTGTGATAAGTTCAAATGAGAAGTTGTTTAAAAGAATCAGCCCAAGATACAGCTATTTCTTTTTCTTGAGAGAATGTGCAGTTGCAGGCTATTATTTTCGGTTTATTGGGAAGGTATTTTAAAAATAAAAAGGAAAGTACTTCCCCGCCATAGAGTTGGCATTAAATATGGCAGTAAATTTTTTAAAGTTTTTGGTTCGTTCATATGTTTGTGGTTTTGCAGGCCCTGAGTATGCAGATGTTGTGTTTTTGGTGGACAGCTCTGATCGCCTGGGATCCAAGTCCTTCCCATTTGTGAAAATGTTCATCACCAAAATGATCAGCAGTCTCCCCATAGAGGCCGACAAATACCGTGTGGCCCTGGCCCAGTACAGTGATAAACTTCACAGTGAATTCCACCTGAGCACCTTCAAAGGCAGGAGCCCCATGCTGAACCACCTAAGGAAGAACTTTGGATTCATTGGCGGGTCCCTGCAGATAGGAAAGGCTCTTCAGGAGGCTCACAGGACTTATTTCTCTGCACCCGCAAATGGGAGAGACAAGAAACAGTTTCCCCCAATTCTAGTGGTCCTGGCTTCATCTGAGTCTGAGGATAATGTGGAAGAGGCATCAAAGGCCCTGCGGAAAGACGGAGTGAAAATCATCTCTGTAGGGGTGCAGAAAGCTTCTGAGGAAAACCTGAAGGCCATGGCCACGTCTCAGTTTCATTTCAACCTTCGGACAGTCAGAGACCTCAGCATGTTTTCCCAAAACATGACACACATCATCAAGGATGTAATAAAGTACAAGGAGGGAGCAGTTGATGACATCTTTGTAGAAGGTGGGCTTAGGATATGTGTATAGGAATGATGATAAAACGCTTTTGAAAAATTAAAATGGGGAGAGGATTGAAATTCTATGAATATTCCTATCCCCAAAATGGGCTGCATTTTCAGATGTTATGTACCCATCGTTTAAGAGAGTCCAGTGATTATGACCATTTTCAATTCAGTGAAGCCCAGAAGTCTTGGTTTTTCATGTTTCACTTATCTGTGTTGCCTGACATTCACAGACTTCTTAAAATTTAGGGATGCTTTCTCCCTGCCACCCAGCTGATCTCTGAGCTATTTCCCTGGGCTTTAGTTGCTATGTAGTTTTAGTACTGGTTCATTGAAAAGGTAAGTTTGCTTCTAAAGAAATTCTTGACTCTTAAAACCACATAATATAATCATAGAATGTTAGACCTAAAGGCAACTTCCAGAAGTCCAGATCCCCCTGTTTTTTTGCAAAAAAGAACTTATATATATCCTTAGAAGTGATGTGCCTTGGCCCAGGGGCCAGGCTGTGACTTAAAGTCAGAGCTAACAGGCCAGATCTCCCAATTCCCAGCCATGTAGTTTCAGCTCCAGACTGCCTTGCTTCCTGCTGCCCTGTTCTGAATTAGTTTTCCCTGTGTTCTGATCTGTGGCCAAACTTCTCTCCTGGTCTGTCCTCTTGTACTACTCTAGTAACAAGAATGGTCAAGAGTTGGTGATCATCATTCAAGTGAAGGGCAGGGGATAGCCAGTAAAAAACAATGTGTTCAAAGTGTACATGTCCAAATATGTTATATAGGAAACTCACATTATCCCTGATTAAATCAGTTTGAATGAGCTGATATATATACTTACCTATTGATAATAGAGAATGCTTTCCTTGGGGTCATCTGTGAAACTATGAGTCCTTATTACTAGCATCATTCCCAAATAAAAGAACTGAAAATGCAATTGCTATTTCGTTACTATCCCTTAGGAATATTTGGACTGTAACTGCTGACTATAGTGTGGATGATGCTTAAATGATTTTAATATGATAGCAATGGCTATGGTTCACTGAATGAATTTTATGTACCAGGCCCCATGCTAAGAATATTGTCGCATTAAATCCCCATAACAACTCTATGAGATTAATATTGTCTCCCTTTTACAGATGAGGAAATTGAAGCCGGGAGTTTAGCTAAGATGTAGTATTTGAACTCAGGTCTCTTTAACCTCAACTTCATAATTATTTGTCTACCTCCTTCTCTAAGTGCATAACTGAGCTCTGCTGTATGGTCTTCATGCCTTCTAATGCTCACCAAAGATGCTGAACCACCAGCTAAAATTGTGCTTGTTTATTTCTTGCCACACAGCTTGCCAAGGCCCTTCTATGGCCGATGTTGTGTTCCTATTGGATATGTCAATCAATGGAAGTGAGGAGAACTTTGACTATCTTAAAGGATTCTTGGAAGAAAGTGTATCTGCCCTTGACATAAAGGAAAATTGCATGAGGGTTGGCCTTGTGGCCTATAGCAATGAGACAAAAGTGATAAATTCACTGAGCATGGGCATAAATAAGTCAGAGGTTCTCCAGCATATACAGAACCTTTCTCCCCGAACTGGGAAGGCCTATACTGGAGCTGCCATCAAAAAGCTCAGGAAGGAAGTTTTTAGTGCACGGAATGGCAGTCGGAAGAATCAGGGGGTGCCCCAGATTGCCGTGCTGGTGACCCACCGAGATTCAGAAGACAACGTGACAAAAGCAGCTGTTAACCTCCGACGGGAGGGTGTGACCATCTTCACCCTGGGCATAGAGGGCGCCAGCGACACCCAGTTGGAAAAGATAGCATCCCACCCTGCTGAGCAGTATGTCTCCAAACTGAAGACCTTCGCTGACCTGGCTGCTCACAACCAGACATTTCTGAAGAAGCTGCGGAACCAAATAACACACACAGTCTCTGTCTTTTCAGAGAGGACTGAAACGCTCAAATCTGGTAAGGTCTTCTGCTGAAAGAAGGGTTGTTTGGATTCTTTTTTTCTTCTCTTTCAAATATTCTGTATACAAAGTGGATTGGCTTGGGAAGATGTGGATGGGAAGGATAAGTTCCTAATTCTTTTACTTGAGCTTGAAAATATGAAGCCTAATTTGGGGACAATAAAAGCCATTGAGGTGTTGGCATGGGGAGAAGAGATTTCCCCTTTTAGTTCCTCTTTTGTGCAGCTTTAATTGGATTTGTTACTCATCCATGTTCCAGAATACCTTCCTTTGCTATTTTTCTCTCTTCTTTTGTCTTTCTCTCTTTTGCCTCTCACGTTCCCCTGCTCTTCCCTTTATTTCTTTATTCTTTTTGTACTTTTCTCACCCAAATCATCTTTCCTCATTTCCAAATTCCAATTTAGAGAATAAACAGGAGTGTGATTTGAATGAAGAAAAAGTAATTATGTAATTTGTTGTGGGGTACCATTCTAGCATCCACCAGTGCAGGGACAGAGACAGAGGGTGATGTATCTTATGTTTCATATATACACTTATAAATATTTTTATGTATTGGTATACATATAGATGTGTATATTCTTCCATAAATATTTATAGCATATTTACTACAAATGTCATTGTCTCACTCATGAATAGTAGCCTTAGTTAGATGACTAGGAGCGGGTAAGGAGTAAATAATTTGCTCAAGAGAGTTCATGGGCCCACAATGTCCAGTTAAATACCTGTCCAGTTAAACACCTTCTCCATTTCCCAACACACTACTTGACTTTTTGCTAAGCAGTTATTTACTAATGGGTGAAGTGTCTTGTAAAAAGCAGCTTCAAATTTTTTAAATCTCCTACCATATTCAGACTTATCCTGATTCATGGCAGAGAATTGGGGCAATAGTCTTAAAGTGTCAGAAGCGATTCATTTGGATGTTAAGATTCCCCCATTTTAAGCTAACAAAGCATGTATTTTAAGCCTAGAAGCTGTTTCCCATTTTTCTGTCTGAAGAGGTTCATATTTGTTCTTCTTTCCATGTGCTCTCATTTCTTCTTCATGCTTGCTCAAATGCCACATGCAACTTATTGATTCCTTTTTAGGTTGTGTGGACACTGAGGAAGCAGACATCTATCTGCTTATCGATGGCTCAGGGAGCACCCAGGCCACAGATTTCCATGAAATGAAGACGTTCCTGTCAGAGGTGGTAGGGATGTTCAACATTGCTCCCCATAAGGTGCGGGTTGGGGCCGTTCAGTATGCTGACAGCTGGGACTTGGAATTTGAGATCAATAAATACTCCAACAAGCAGGATTTGGGAAAGGCCATTGAGAATATCAGGCAGATGGGTGGGAATACAAACACAGGCGCAGCACTGAATTTCACACTGAGTCTGTTGCAAAAAGCAAAGAAGCAGCGAGGAAACAAAGTTCCATGCCACCTTGTTGTCCTGACAAATGGCATGTCCAAGGATAGCATCTTGGAGCCTGCAAACAGACTGAGAGAAGAGCACATCCGAGTTTATGCTATCGGGATCAAGGAGGCCAACCAAACACAGCTGAGAGAAATTGCAGGAGAGGAAAAGAGAGTGTATTACGTGCATGACTTTGATGCATTGAAAGACATAAGAAACCAAGTTGTTCAAGAAATCTGTACTGAAGAAGGTAAGAGAAATCGTGGCTTTACCTACTGACCTTCACTCGCAAATTGCTATCCTGGCAATAATTGACATTGCTGGTTTAGAAAAACAACATAAATTACTAAGTTGAGATTTGTTAACTTGTGTAACTGTGTTCTCTAGAACAAAGCTAAGAGCCCATTATACTGTTGTTCTAAATAATATCTGAAGCATAAGAAAAATATTTGGAGGAATTTCCCTAATAAGTATTAATCAGCTTCCTCTCACAATTTCTTGCCAGGATAGATATATGAGTGTACACCACACGTGTAATATGATAAAATGATTTCAGATTGTAAGGAGTTCTTCAGGTTTATATGAATGTCTTTTTATACAGCTTTTATGAAATCATTTAGAGCTCCTGTTTTCAACCAGGAGTGATTTTGCACCCTTAGAGGTTATTTGTCAACGCCTAGAGACATTTCTGATGGTCATAACTGGAGGGTGCTCCTGTCATCTAAGAGGTAGAGGTCAGGGATACTGCAAAGCATTTTACAGTATCCTACAACACACAGACTTGGCACAGTAAAAATGATACCCAAGATGTCAATGGTGCTGAGGTTGAGTAACCCTGAGTTATGTATTTAAGCAAGTTACTAAATAACAAATAGAATATTCTCACTTTTATTGTCTTCTAAGCTTTATTTACTACTAATTATTACTAAGTACACATGTCAATATAAAATTATTTGTGTTTTGGATTTTCCTGTTTACTCTGAACTTTTTACATGTAGCTGACTTGAATAAACATCACAGTTTTTCCTATGCAGCTTGCAAAGAGATGAAAGCTGACATCATGTTTCTGGTGGACAGTTCTGGAAGTATAGGACCTGAAAACTTCAGCAAAATGAAAACATTTATGAAAAACCTGGTGAGCAAGTCTCAGATTGGACCAGATCGGGTGCAAATTGGTGTAGTCCAGTTCAGCGACATCAATAAGGAAGAGTTTCAGCTCAACAGATTCATGTCCCAAAGCGACATTTCAAATGCAATAGACCAAATGGCTCACATTGGACAAACCACCCTGACTGGTAGTGCCCTGAGCTTTGTGTCTCAGTACTTCAGCCCCACCAAGGGCGCCCGGCCCAACATCAGAAAGTTTCTCATCCTCATCACGGATGGTGAAGCTCAGGACATAGTAAAGGAACCAGCAGTAGTGCTTCGGCAAGAAGGTGTAATCATCTATTCTGTGGGAGTGTTTGGCTCCAATGTCACCCAGCTTGAGGAGATCAGTGGGAGGCCCGAGATGGTTTTTTATGTTGAGAATTTTGACATTCTGCAGCGCATTGAAGATGATCTTGTTTTTGGAATATGCAGCCCCCGTGAAGGTAGGCATGGGCATACTCACTAGCAGGACTATCCGAACAACAGATGTCTTTTTTAGCCTCTATTTCTTGAATTTAATTCTATTTACATATTGTAAACTTTTGGTTTAATTGAAATGTTTCTCCTAGTGGCTTTGACCTGTTGAATTAAACAGACAGTGAGGAAGAGTTTTGGTTTACCTAGACCCATTCCCATTTGTAGGTAAATAGCACTACAGTGATGGATCTCCATTTAAGAAAAATGGTATCATACCAGTTCTTAGATCAGGTTCCCTAGAAGCAGAAGTTAAGTCAGGGGCTCTTTGGAAGTGATTTATTGAGGAGGTATTTTCAGAAGGGGTGTAGGAAACAGGTCAGGGCATGGGTAGGAACTGAACAAGGAAATCACCTTAGGTGGAGTCTAGTTTGGCCTGATCCCATGGGGAGCTCCAGACCATGAATTACAGAGTTGGTCCTACCTTGAGGCGAGGGGCTCAGCCCTGTGTACCCTGTGTCACGTGGGCTACATGTGGGTTGCTGAGGCAGCCCTGGCATTTATCCTCCTGGGCAAGGTGGCTCCTCTTTGACCTACACATCTACTATATATGGTGCTTATTTTTGCAATTTCTAAAGACCAATACTTGTATCAAATGAGGTGATGTTTGCGAAAACACTTTGATAGTTATTAAATTTTATAAAGCAGGAATATAGTAAGAGGACTTGAGCAACGGTTGCTTCAAAGGAAGTAAGGAACCTAGTCCCCACTGTCTTCCCATGAAACTGCAGAGTAATGGAAATGATCAAAAGTACTGGGAATGTAGAGTAATGGAAATGATCAAATAAAAGCTCAGCCAATATAAGGGGCTGATTTATATGTGACCCATAGGGCTTGATGACAGAGGCATTCTGAAAATGAAGGACATAGATCTGCATGGAGTTTAAAGGGAAGAGAGGAACATTGTTTGCTTATTCAAATAACAGTTCTGTTCAACTCCCACTGGAAGGTTTGGTGCTCATGATCTGTATTTTGTAGAAAAAGAGTACACCTGGTTTCTATTTCCTGGTAACTTCGCCCAGAACAAATATGAACTTTCTGAAGCGTTCTGACACTGAGTAATGTATTCCCAGTCTCCTGGGTAATCCAAGCAGGCTTCCCAGGCAGTCAAAGACCACGGGGACATAGTTCTTCTACGTAAATTCCCAAGTACAGCCAGCCTTTCTTGGGAATTTTGTTGATGGCCCTGTACACATGGCCTGCAGTTAGTGGGGATAAGTACAATGGCTCTAAGGTTTTCAACAGCCCTTACATAGCAAGTGGCTGGCGAAAGAAGAAAATGTGGCAAGCCTCTGGGGGGTGGGTGCTTTCTCACAATTCCATTTCTCAAGAATGGATGAGTTAATGTTTGGATCATACCTTTCTATGGCCTGTAGAGAGAATGTGCTACATAAGGACTAAATAACAAACCATCTTACAATTCCCCTTCTCCAGAATGGATGAGTTAGTTTTGGAACACTGCACCTTTGGAGGGAACATGCTCCACATGGATTAAGAATTAATTGGGTCTTTCCTGCTTTTCTGTTCCATGGTGCTGACCTCAGATTTAAAAAGTTAATAGCATCATGCTAGAACAGCTTAGTTGGACCCAGTGCGAAGTGGGCTTATTTCTATGATGAAACCCAAAACTGAAAATAGATGTTTCAAAAAAGTCAAAAAGTGAGGAAAAAGTAACTTTGAAAAGTCAGCCATCAGAGAATCATGAAAAATATACAGTGTTGCCAAATTCATTTTCATTTGGTCATTTCCCCAAGGTTTATATTAAGAATACAAATCTCAAGATCGTGGCTAAAATAAAAAGAAAAAAATTGTATAAATGAAAGCACATGTTGGATAAACCACTTATACAGGAAAATTTACACAGAATTGATTTTTTTAGTCCAAAGCTTTTAAAATTTTTTATTCCTGGCAATCCTGTGATTGTCACTTGACCTCGTCCCACTCCCTGCAGTGGGCCCCCACTGACTCCCGCCTTATCTTACAAGCTCACCTAAGTGAGTATTAACTGTATACTTCCAGCACCAATGTATGTGTATTGTCCTCTTATCCAGGGAACCGACATTCTAATGCACAGCATGATCCCCTTGGAGAGAAAACACTAGCAATTTATAAAAAGGTTGAGGCGTCTCCCATGCTGTCCAAAGCTAATCTCATATGGTTTACCTCTCTCTTCCTCTTTCAGAATGCAAGCGGATTGAAGTTTTAGACGTTGTGTTTGTCATTGATAGCTCTGGCAGTATTGACTATGATGAGTATAATATCATGAAGGATTTTATGATTGGCTTAGTGAAAAAAGCTGATGTGGGCAAGAATCAGGTCCGGTTTGGGGCTCTGAAGTATGCTGATGACCCAGAGGTGCTGTTTTATCTGGATGACTTTGGCACAAAACTGGAGGTAATTTCAGTGCTCCAGAATGACCAAGCCATGGGTGGCAGTACTTATACTGCTGAGGCACTGGGCTTCTCAGACCACATGTTCACTGAAGCCCGGGGCAGCCGCCTGAACAAGGGGGTCCCCCAAGTCCTCATTGTGATCACCGATGGGGAATCCCATGATGCTGATAAACTCAATGCCACGGCAAAGGCCTTGCGGGACAAAGGCATTCTTGTCCTGGCTGTGGGGATTGATGGTGCCAATCCCGTGGAGCTGTTAGCCATGGCAGGATCAAGCGACAAGTACTTCTTCGTGGAGACTTTTGGAGGTCTGAAGGGAATATTTTCAGATGTGACAGCCAGTGTCTGCAACTCTTCAAAAGTAGGTAAGTTTTGCCAACTAAGTTTTTCCTAATTATTAGCAGAGGGACAAATGAGAGAGAAAGCAAAGCAATGGCTCTCAGGAACAAGTTTTCCAGAGAGGAGAGAAGGAGCTCTAATTGTTTCATAGGACTTTCTATATTATAAAATCTGAGGGTTGGAAAGACCTTGGGCATATTTCATTCAGACTTCTCCCCAAAGAGAGATACTTTCTGCAGCATTCCTAATCACTTCTTCCTAAACTCTTCTAATGATGGGAAATTCAAAAGTTGTTTTGTTTTGTTTTGTTTTGGCTTTTTTTTTAAAGACAGGGTCTTGCTCTGTTGCCCAGGCTGGAGTGCAGTAGCATGATCACGGCTCACTGCAGCCTCAACTTCCAGGACTCAGGTGATCATCCTGCCTCTGCCTCCCCAAGGAGCTGGGACTACAGATGTGTGGCATGAGGCATGGCTAATTTTTTTTTTTTTTTTTTTTTGTGAAGACAGGGTTTCACTATGTTGCCCAGGCTGGTCTCAAACTCCTGGATTCAAGCCATCTGCCCCCCTTGGCCTCCCAAAGTGCTGGGATTACAAGTGTGGGCCACTACACTGAGCTGAATTCACCAGTTTTGAACAGCCTTCATTAGAACACATATGTGCTTACACATTTTTCCACCCACTAGTTCTTTTTCCTCTTTATGCAAGAAACAAATTCTCCTCCTAAGAACCAGCTAGAATTGCCTGAAGTCTTCTTTCCTTCAGGCTAGAAGTCACCAGCTTCTTTGCTTATTTCAATTGTGGCAGAAGGTCATTTAAAATGTGAAGCCCAGTATTAAAAACTCTGTTCCAGCCTCAGAAGTTTCCAGGACAGAGCATAGTGGGGCTTCTATTCTGGCAGCTGGAGATTGCATTGCTGCATGTATGTATGTATTCCTTCCTTCATCATTTTACTATCATTTTATACTTTTGGTTCAGAGAAAGATTGTTCTCTACTTAGTTTCCTGAGTAATTTTCCCAAGATGTATTTTACTAAAGATACTAAATGTTTTTACTAGATGAATTGCTATTAATTCATGATTCCAACATCTAGATATAGTAGTTCTTTTTAAAACTCATCTAACTTCTCTGGTTTTCCTAAGCCTTGCCTCCTTAGAATGCAGCTACTATCTTTTTCTTTCACAAAACTAATAAAATCTTTCTGGGTCTTACTGAAAACTGGGACAAATCTCTTCCTTCCTTGTAGCCATTGTCTAAAATTGGATCTATCCTTCTCCAGTTCACTGTAGAAGTTGACATTGCATTTTCATATTGAAAATTCTCCTTGGGACAGAAAAACAGTACTAGATTTCCTTTATTGAAATCTGAAACAATTTAATAAGTTAACCAATTCCTAAAGGATCGATTTACCATATTTCTTCTTATCACTTCCTTGCTTACCTGGACTTCAGGAATCTCAGACACCTTTAATATTTCTGAGGCTATGATGAGAACTAAGTTCGGAGAGTGGTGAGATCACTGGGGAATTCATGGAAACGATCATGCTTACCAGAAAGCTAAGGAACACACATGTGCCAAGCATAACTCATTCATTGGCAGTGGTCTCTCATGTTCTTCTTGTTTTATATTTGCTGTGTTAATATGGGGGAAGCATCTTTATATTGCATTGCTTGTTCACAAATATTTTTCTCAAATAGATATTTTTGCCTACATACAGCAGAAAGGGGCTGATAAAAAGGAAAACTGACTAGATACAGACCAAAAGGCATCCTTTTAAAACCTCTTCTCAATATGCCCTAATGAACTAGAAAAATATTTATTGGCTCAAATGACCAGGGAGGCTAAGTCAATAACATGAACTATCTGCCTCTTTGTTTGAATCCCTAAATGTATGTGTGTTTTGTTTTCTCTTGGTGTGCTACTATTGTCACCGGGCTTTCTGGAAGAGCTGAGGCTAGGTTGTAGATGAGAACAAGTTTTCCATAGCGCTGGCCCCAGTTCTCTGGCATCTCAGAAAATAAAATGGCCTAATACCAAATCAACAAGCCAAGAGAAGCATAAAAAGATGTGTGAGTGATTCATTCCTTGTACTGACTTTAAGAGCTGATCATTTGCCTTTATTTCCTCTACAATTATTGTGACCACATGCTAGCATAAGATAAGAAACCACTTTCAGAAATATTTCTATATAGCTGCAAACTTTTTTTTTTTTTTTTTTTTTGAGACGGGGTCTTGCTCTGTCACCCAGGCTGGAGTGCAGAGGCACAATCTCGGCTCACTACAAGCTCCGCCTCCCGGGTTCACGCCATTCTCCTGACTCAGGCTCCCGAGTAGCTGGGACCACAGGCAGCCACTACCACACCCAACTAATTTTTTTAATTTTTTTTAGTTGATCCTGGGTTTCACCATGTTAGCCAGGATGGTCTCGCTCTCCTGACCTTGTGATCTGCCCGCCTCGGCCTCCCAAAGTGCTGGGATTACAGGAGTGAGCCACCGCGCCCGGCCTATAGCTGCAAACATTGAATTTACTCTTGGTGGATTAAGGAAAGAATAACAATCTGGGTTTTCTGTTGTTCCTTCTCTTCTTTGTAGATTGTGAAATTGACAAAGTAGATCTTGTTTTCCTTATGGATGGTTCAACTAGCATTCAGCCAAATGACTTCAAGAAAATGAAGGAATTTCTGGCATCTGTTGTTCAAGACTTTGATGTCAGCCTCAACAGAGTGCGAATAGGAGCGGCCCAGTTTAGCGATACCTATCACCCGGAGTTTCCACTGGGAACTTTCATAGGTGAAAAAGAGATATCATTTCAGATTGAAAACATCAAGCAGATCTTTGGAAACACACACATCGGTGCTGCACTCAGGGAGGTGGAACATTACTTCAGGCCAGACATGGGCAGCAGGATAAATACAGGTACCCCACAGGTGCTGCTGGTCCTTACAGATGGCCAGTCCCAAGACGAGGTGGCCCAGGCCGCGGAAGCCCTGAGACACAGAGGTATCGACATCTACTCCGTGGGCATTGGGGATGTGGATGACCAGCAGCTCATTCAGATCACCGGGACTGCAGAGAAAAAACTGACAGTGCACAACTTCGATGAACTGAAGAAGGTCAATAAAAGGATCGTTCGCAACATCTGTACCACAGCGGGTGAAAGCAGTAAGTATTTAGCAAGTTCTTCATTCGATTCCCTACACCATCTTCTCTGGCATTTTCTTCCAGCTCCATTGTCATCCCCTGGGGCTAGTGGGAGAATTTAGATTTGTGCCTCTGGATTTCAAATTGAGCTTTTCACAGTTATTAAATATTTGTCTTGACCTGTGGATTGAGAAACAGGGTGTTTGATATCCTGTGCCCTTTTTTCTCCCTGTCTCCTGGGGGAGCATGCCTCCTTTGTGAGTGGGAATGCCTGCCTTCAGGTGTGAGGAAAAGGCCATTGTTTGCAATCTGGCTGGTTTCAGAGGTTGAAGAGCAATGCCTCAAAGAAAGGAAATATTTGACTGATTTTTGGTTGCTTGGCAATACGGCCTATAGGGCTGCCAAGAGCTGTGGTACAGGTAGGTAAGAAACCTCCCTAGAGGTTTATATCTTTATTATGAAATTTTACTGCAGAAATTAGTAAATATCTTCTTTACAATTAGTGCATTTTGACACTTTTTTCAACAGATGGAAGTAAAGTGTCTTAAAGGAGAAGTCACTTTTTCTGTTATAAAGGTATCTTATGGGTTGGTTATGATTCTATATAACTACCAAAGGTAAACATTAATCCCAGATTTCCACTCAAAAAAAAAAGTTGCAAGGTCATTAAGAGGCAGCTCTGAAGACAGACAGCCTGACAGCAGATCCCTGCTCTATGGCCATTTTTTTCCGGGACAAGTTGCCTAACTTCTCTAAGTTTAATTTTTTCACCTTTGAAATGTGAATAATAGCAGTACCTAGTTCAAAAGAACATTGTGAGGATTAAATGAGAAAATGCATATTTCAACTTTAATGAGCATAACACCTGAGATATAATTATAAAGTGCCTTCATTTTTATCTACCAGTGACCATTAAATTTATGAATGGGAGCTAGCTCTTCCTTTGCCCCTCATCACTTTCAGGAAATAAAAGAACCTTCTTTTGGTGATTAATATGTCCATCCCAGTGTAATGTTAAAACTTTACATTTTATTCAAGGTTACCCCACATTTCCAGCTTGCTACAGGCTGCCTTGCTGTGAGAGAAGTGGTTGACATTTCTCCCAATGTCCCCAGACTTTCACTGCACTCCCCATCTTCCAGGTGCTCCTCCATCTTACTAACCATAGTTTCTGGTCTCTCCAGAAGGAGAAGGTACTAGGAAAGGGGGAACAACTAAAAGGGTACAGGAAAGTTTTTAATCTGATGGCCCTTATCAGGAATTGGTTTTCTCTGAAAATAGCCCGTGTCTAAAGCTGGGTCCATTCATAGGTCCTTCGAAGATTCCACCTCCTGCCCCACATCATCACCTCCCCAACCAAGCCACCTTTGTCTAAAGATCTCTCCATCACAGTTTTTTTTTTTAGGAGGCTAAGTATGTCTCTATTCCAGAGTGTCCCTTATGCCTTTCTCAGCCTCTGGGCATCTGCTGATGCCTCCAGCTTTGTTCTGCTGAGGTTTCTCTGTCCCCTCCAGGGGCTTCTTAGATGGGAGATCAGAGGAGCCCACAACAGCTTGCTCTTCTACTCAGCCATATCAGCTCCATGGTCAACAATAACATATCGATTGCCCTAATAAAAACTGGGAATCACAGCCCTCCAGCGTGATTGCCTCTTCTTTGTAGGGAGGGCAATATTCCATCCTGTGTCTCATGCTTTAGAATTTCCAGGATTAGGTTATCTCCAGATTATCTCTGAAAGCCCCTCTCTCAGCTTGAAAAGGAAGTCACCCACTCTCCTTGCGTATATGTGTGTGTGCCTGATGGGAGAGCCCACAGCACATCAACAGCTCTCTCCAAACACTTTTCCAAACTGCAGTCTTAAACCTTTAATAAGACCTGATGTGCAGGTTAAAGGTTAAGAGTTCTGTAGTTGATTTGGGACTACTGACTCTCTAAGTTCTGCTTCACATACTTTGGAATGTATCTGATTACCTCGGCCAAACCTTCCACATTAATTTCTTGTTTCATGTGAAATACTCAAGCCCAATTATTAGGCAGAAAATTCTCTCTGAACCATCCAGTTTCTATCTGAGTGTGATGAAAGAAAACCATGTGGAAAGTAAAAAACAGAAGTATGAACTCCAAGTAAGTAATGAGTTATTTTTTAAATAGTCATGAATGCAAAAAAAAATAAGAAAAATACTCTATATTAAGATAAACTTGAGGTTATTACTTCAGCAAGGAAGAATGTGAGGCAGGCTATGAGCTGAGGACTGATGAAGCTGGAATGAACACTGATAAAGCTTCAAAGGCATGTACAAATATATTAGGGGATGCCAGTTCTTTTTAAACTATAAATCCCAAAACAAGGAAATCAGACAGTAGCTGGGTATGGTTCAAAACAAACTGGACTTAAGGCCTGAACACTTGCTGTGCTTCTTATTAAAATATGCATAACTTTGGAGATGTCAGTACCATTTCTGAGTCTTAGTTTTCTGGTTTGTAAATCTAAATAATCTCTAAAAGTTCCTCTAATTGTATACTGTGATTCAACATATGTGAAAGGGAGGTCAGACGCATGGAGGTATGATGGAGGTGACTAAGAATCATTATTTTTTGAGCATCTACGAAGGGTCAAGCCTGGTGTTCTAAGCACTTTAAATGTACTATCTCACTCAATTCTCCCAACATCTTACATGGTTGGTGTTTTTGTTTTCATTTATAAATGTGGAAACTGGGGTTCAAGGGAATATTGGTAGCCTGGTCTAGATCATACAGGAAGTAAGACTAAGCACATTTTGAAACCTAGGGTTGTCTGACCCCCGTCTGTTCCTCTCACCACCCCCATCCCTGACTTTTTTGTTAAATTAAGCTGTTTTCTTGATATAGTTATTGTCTAGGTTATCTGATATTGACATTATAAAGAACTAATATCTAAGTGTTGTGCTTCACCAATTAATAGCTGGAGCTTATTAAGACATCATAGGGTTGTATCTTTGAAATTGTTTCCACAAGCTGATATTCCCTAAGGAAACCACTTCCTGCTGTCACTTCCAATAACATAACCTAGTAGTAGAACTAGCAACCTGCATGACTTGTCATCACTGGCTAACCAGGAAGTGGTAGAATAAGGTGGTTCAGCATGTGGACTCCAGAGAAGTCTGGATCTGAATCCCAAGTGTGAGAGACACAGTGTTAACTGTGAGATCTTGGGCAAGCTTCTCTGTCACAGCTTCTTCATCTGCAAAATGAAAAAGAGCTTCTACTTATTCTGTGTCTTATGAGGAGAAGTGAGACAGTGAATTGGAAGTATATGGTAAGTGTTCATTGAGAGTTAGCTAATATCATAGCACGTTGCTGAGAGTACCATGAAGGGATGTCTTGAATGAAAATTTGTGGAGTAATGGGGTTAATTCACAGGAGGACAATTTACCAACAATTCCTTAGTTTAGGGACTTAAATATTTTAGCCACATTTCAGAGCTATATTCAAATTTAATAAATATACGTGGTATTTTCTTAAGCAACTGTTTTCTCACCTTTATCCATGCTTATTTTCTTGGTTTTTCTTTGAGACTGGCTATTCTGTCCACTAGAGGAGACTTTGAGCAATTTTTAGGATGTGGAGGTTCTGCCTGTTTTTTTAGCATGGAGCCATGATTAGGTAGCAGAGAATCAGGAGCATCTCTCATCTGATGTATCTATCATTATGGATAGATGAATCAAGAGGGAGACTGAGCAAAAGATTAGTCTCATTAGGGTAAGAGACAACCTCAGGATTTGATTCAAGAGATGTGAAAAATATAAGGAAAAAAATAGATGTTCATGTCCAACTTTTCTTAATAAGGAGCTCTTTTTATATTCCTGCCTTAACTGGGTCTGGGTTCTCCAGAAAACAGAGCCTGAAGCAGAGTTTACATGCCAATACTTTATTGGGAGTGCAGTCCCAGGGAAGCAAGAGTGAATGGAAGGGAAGTGATGCGGGAAAGGAGGGGAAAGTAAATACAAGGTAGTATGTTACCAAGTTAGCCACAGCTTAAGAAAGCATAACTGGTGCGTTGGTCATGCAGAACATCACTAGAGAAGCCCTATAAAACCACCGTGTATACCAGCCCAGCAGAGGGAATAAAAGAGAGGATTTACCTGCCAATTGCTTCCCATCTACTGCCTCTCATAAGTCAGAGAGTTAACTTCCCTACACTACTGGGTTGCGTTATCCAGCCCCTTATGGAAACTGCTGGGGAAATCAGAAACAGGTCCCACAGTGCACTACACCTAGGGCAGGAAATGCTGAAGGGACCAGGGCCTCCCTAAGTTCACGTGGGTTGCACACGGGCACCAGAGCCAAGGTGGCCGTTCTGCAGTGAGCATGGTGGAGGCTGTGTCAAAGCCAGGCTGTCACTTCCACGGTTAGCAGACTAAGGATGATGGCAGCTAGGGCTCTTCCGTGGACAAATGTCTACGCCTTGGGAAAGGGAGGAAGCAAATCTGGGAGGTATATAAACTGAGTCTCTAACAGTCCCTAGCTATACTTTATAGATGATCCTTTCTTTTTTAATCTAAAATACCCCATCTTTCAAAGTCCCAAACAGATTTCTCTCCTATCCCAGCTAATAACTGCCACTTTCCCCTTTAAAGTATTTTCTCAAGAATCTGTCTTCTAATCTTACAAATGTACCCTAGCCTCTTGACAGTATTTCTTAATACCAAGAATCTGCCATCATCAGCTCCAATTAAGTACTGTCTTTATAAATTAATAATTAGAATCAGCTTTTGGGCTTGGCAGGAAACAATGAGACTATAACTGTCTGATCCAATTCACTCTTTTCTGTGCTTTTGTATTTTTACTTGGAAATATATAACCCCCTTATTTTTATAGACAAGAAAATTAATGCCCAGAGAGGATAAGAGTTGCCAAAAGTAGTTTGGCAGTAACAGAATGGTGACCAGCATGTGACTGAAACTGAACTTCTGTCTTCCCACTCACAGACTTGCCCCCCAGGATTCCACATTGCTATTTGGAGGACTAGTCAAGGGCTCAGCGGGCTACTCTTACTTCTCTTATCACCCTCTGTAGCCAGTCCTGCCAATTACCTTCTTAAATATTTTGCTTTTATTAGCCCTTTCTTATTCCCACTGCTGTTATCCTACTTTAATTCTTCATTATTTCTTTGGAAATCCAATTTCAGCTTTCTCCCTAGCTCACTTCCAAAACTCCCTGCCTCCAGTCCTTTCAAGTCACCAATGGCAGATTCACTTTAAAGTACAACCTGTGTCATGGAAGACTTCAAGACAGGGCTCCTGATTTAAGGGCAGATGTCTCAGTGGAGTTTTTAGGCTGTTGCATGAGAGCCTCTTGCTCAGTATGGTTTGGTCTCTCTCACTGTACTTAGACACATGGTTACTAATTCTGGACTTGTCCACCAAATTCCATTCCTTCTATCACATTATTATGGAATCATTTGTCAATTCAAATTAAACACAAGGAACTTGTTTACCTAAATAAGTTTGTACGTTCAGCAATCTAGACAAAAATTTAAAATACACAATGTTTATAGGCAACAGTTCCCAAGGTCACTTGATGTCATTTTGGTATTTCTGCTGGTTGGTTTTTTTCACACAATTCTGTTTTCCTTAAAGACATTATCATATCTTGGTTACTACCTGGTTTTCTGCTCAGGTTTAAACAGTCATCATCAAAAATGAAACTTTCAAGCTCAAGACAGATATGAGAAGACGTAGATGCAAGAGGAATTTTGGAAAGGATATATTCTGCTTTTTTCTAAATAGTTTATCTTATTTTCTGATGAAGAAGAGATTTCCAATAAAATACAGTAAAATAAGATGCTCAGTCTTCCAGATTTTTGATAACACTTTGATTTACCTTGAATCTCATGATGAAAATTGATTATCAAATAAAATTTTTGTTTTCCCTCAGTCAATTCTCATTAAAAATCAAGTTGCCAACACTTGTTTTAAAAGTTGAAATTGATGATTTTGGTTTTAAGCATTTGCAAATGTCCAACTGACCAGTGTGTCTGGGAAGTAGTTAAGCATTTGTCTTTACAAGGAATATCTTAAACATTGCTGATCTAAGCAAACCAAATTAAAAACAACCACTCATTTTATCAAGCAAGCTGTATGTGTTCAGTTTGCTGAAAAAAATTAGAGTTTTTAGCCAAGTTAAAAATTCGTGAAAGGAGAGTGTATGAGTCACATGACTTTATTGTTCTCTAATTAACTGCCTTTAGGACACTCAGCTTAAAATATCAAGCCCTTTCTAGTTTCTCCAACTCTTAAGTTTCCCTAGAATTAATAAGAATAAGAGCAAAGCACTTTAATGCAACATGCCTCTAAGTATTTAACCTCAAAATGGCAGTGTCCGTGGCTTCTGGAATGGCTGAGCTCCTGAAAGCAGCACCATCTTTGACATGGTCGAATGTGAATAATTTGGTTATCAGTTTCTTCATTTGTCAGACTTACACCAAGCAAGATCTCAAAGGATCTCCTGAATTTTTTAGTTTTTTTTTTTTTCTTTTCTGCATGGATGTTAGAAGACAACAAGAGGAATCAAAAAGGCCCTTTTTAGAAATATAAATCATCAAAACCATTCCTTAGATGAGTCCTTTGTGATTTATTTTTTTCTAGATGACTTTATTCAAATGTTCTTAAATTTCCCTTATGATTATTGTAATTTAATATTTGTTGAATGACCTCAATTGATAAGTAGCATTATATGAATGTCTTATTTTAGACTAATGACATTTCCACAGTGTACTTTAGGGATATTTAAATGATTCTGCATGACTTTTTCAATAGCTAAAATAAAATCTTTCAGAACTTCATTATAGAATCATCAGATTTTATATGACCTGAAAAAATAATAATGAACCCTTACACTTTTACAGGTTAGAAAAGAGTTGATTCTTAGCCTCTTTCTTTATTCATTTATGCCTTTCTTTGTGTTCCAACTTTATAACTGAAATAGAATTCCAAGTCCCTTGATTCAGACATGGTGTCTGAGTTAAATAAAGGCGTTTGTTGATTTATTAAGACATGCTTTTCCTTTGAATCCTAGACTGTTTCGTGGATGTTGTGGTGGGATTTGATGTCTCAACTCAGGAGAAAGGGCAGACTTTGCTTGAAGGTCAGCCTTGGATGGAAACCTACCTTCAAGACATCTTACGTGCCATCAGCTCCCTCAATGGAGTAAGCTGTGAGGTGGGCACAGAGACTCAGGTCAGTGTGGCTTTTCAAGTGACCAATGCCATGGAAAAATATTCTCCCAAGTTTGAGATCTACAGTGAAAACATACTGAATAGCTTGAAGGATATAACAGTTAAAGGACCATCTCTTCTCAATGCAAACCTCTTGGATTCTCTATGGGATACATTTCAGAATAAATCAGCTGCTCGAGGAAAGGTAACATGGATTTATCTTATTTGTTGGTCTATGATTGCAATGAACCCTTTTTAATTCATTTTACTTTTTTTGAATACTTTCTTAGGTGGTCCTTTTATTTTCAGATGGATTGGATGATGATGTTGAGAAACTTGAACAAAAATCTGATGAACTTAGAAAAGAAGGTACTGAGTATGGAGAAGTGGGAAGGGAGTGCTTATTAACTTTATAATCTCAGAACTAAATTCTGGCTCTTAAATTTCCAGGCTCTTAAATTTTGAATAACCCTGATTTTGACAATCTCCGTATTCTGTATGTACTAGGCAGAACAAATGAGCTCTCAGAATATTTTGACATCCACTTTTTTCCTCATGCCTCATGTGTATGAAACAGCACTGAATACAAAGTCCTATCCTTTGTTTCATATTACTGTATTTCTTCTTCCTGACCTTTCCTGGAGAATGTTCCTTTCTCTCTCGCCCCACATTGTCTAATATTGCTACTTCTTTAGTGTCACCAGAAGAGAAGAGTATATTTCTCCTTGACCAGGGAATGAGAGTCAGTTTTCTTCTAACACTCTTAAAGTTCCCAGAGTTGCAAGCATTTTTGGATAAATTTACTCATGTTTTGCAGCTTTCTAATCAGTTCCTTCCTTCAGACCATGGATTGGCCAACCATGGTGTTTGAGATTTTTAAGCTCTGGCACCAGGCTTTTGGCTTTTGAACCAAAAGCTATTCTGAGTCAAACAAGAACATGTGGATGTTCTTGTTTAGTCAAACAAAGAAGTTCTTGTTTGACTCAGAATAGAAGTCCTCTTCTGTAAGTGGGTGCTATTTCTGCCCTACCCAGATCTCCTTTACTGGCAGATTCACCTATCCTCTAGCTGCTAACAACTCACAGCTTACTCCTTCTCTGAAGAATTGCCCTTGGACAGTAGAGCTGCCTCACCTGGAAGGTTGCTGTCCACCCCATCCTTGGGCAGCAGATAAGATTACAGAGTTGGACCTTTGCCTCTAAATGACACCAGTGGTGTGCTGCAATTTATGCTCCAGAGCTTCCTGGGATCAGGCTAAATAAAGCTAGACTCCAGCTGCAACACTGTCTTCTTGCTCAGCAACTTCCCCTGCCCTATCCTGTTTTCCTCACTCCCTTTCTTCTGAAAGTGCTTCCTCAACAATTTGTGTACCTCCAAATCCTTATCTCAAACTCTGTTTCTAGGGAACATGACCTAAGACATTATCTCTCAGGTTAGCTAATAGGGGTTGACAGGACTTTGTCTTTTCTATTTTGTTCTCTCTCTCCAGTCTTCAACAAATTGCAAAATTATCTGAGTTTACTACTAGGGAGTAAAGTTTTTATTTTATCCCTTATTTACGAAGTATGCCTTGTTTTTATTCTCTCTGGTCTTGGCCTTTGTTCATGAGCTGTAATGAAGGTTTTAATTAAGACTGAAAAAAGATACTAGAGTGCTTAGTTGGGATGGGTAGGGTTGTTTTGGTGGTTGCTGTTATTTTGTTTTCTTTTATTTCAGCTTTTCCTTTGTGGGGAAAAGGTATTTCTCTTGCAAAGGACAGTAGAGTTTCTTCCAGGAAGTGCTTTGGAATATCCAGAATTCTAAGACCAAGTATCTTTCTTCCAATGCCTACTGAAAAACTAGTAAATGGGTATCAACTTCAGAAGCTATATTTTGAATAATATCCTCAGATATTTAGATTCTTCCAATGGAAGAGAGAAATCATGGCAATAATGTTCTTTGAAAAGTGTCTAGTTCTTTGAAAGTGACCATCTTTGACATGGTTGAGTGTGAATAATTTGGTTACCAGTTTCTTCACCTGTCAGACTTACACCAAGCAAGATCTCAAAGGATCTCCTGAGTTTTTTGGTTTTGTTTTTTTCTTTAATAAAGTAAAGAAAGTGGTTTTCTGTATGGACAAGAAGTATCTCTCTCGCTGGCTTCCCATACTTACACAGGACTTCACTTGGTGCTGGGCCCTATGATCTATTCACCTAGGAAAGCTTCCTTAATTTCAGGCCGGGCATCAATATGTGTAAAGTATGCAATCATCACTGAACAAGAGGAGACAAGGAAAAAACAATCCTTGATGGCGGACGTGGCTGTAAAACTTATGCACATGGAATGGGGCTTAAATTAATTAATTTTTTAGAATTGAATACCCTAGAATCTACTCAGTGATTCTTTATTCTCCCAAGTTTGAAAATCTTTTCTTTCTTAATTCACTGTTAGAAAATTGAAAACATTGTATTTAGGATCATGTGACTCATTTATTGGATGAGTCTGAAAGAAGATAGGAGTCCCCTGATCCCAAGAAAAACAGTTATAAATAATAGTTATATGCATATTTCTTGCAAGTCAACAATCCCCTGGTTCTTATGACTCTTAAAATTTTACATTTCCTGGGTATTATAAGAAAAATCAGATGACAGAAGGTTTCATTTCTCTTATAAGTAGATCCATTAGCATGCCTTCTCTTGATAACTAAACACCAATTGATGTACAAGCATTTCATATCCCAGCCCACTCTACAACCTCTTTTCTCCCCCTCCTCATTCTCATTCTAGAAGAATGACCGACTATCCTGTTTTGTTGGGAACAAGATGGGAACTTTCAACACTAGAACCAGGAAAGTCCCAGGAAATGAGGACAAATTGTCACCCTATTTTTCTTTGGTGGTTCGTTTGTTCTTTCTTTTTTTATTTTTTTTATTTTTTAAATTAATTTATTTTTTTGAGATGGAGTCTTGCCCTGTTGCCCAGGTTGGAGTGCAGTGGTGCCATCTCGGCTCACTGCAAGCTCCGCCTCCCAGGTTCAAGTGATTCTCGTGTGTCAGCCTCCCGAGTAGCTGGGACTACAGGCGCCTGCCACCACACCCGGCTAATTTTTTGTATTTTCAGTAGAGATGGGGTTTCACTGTGTTAGCCAGGATGGTCTCTATCTCCTGCCCTTGTGATCCGCCTGCCTCGGCCTCCCAGAGTGATGGGATTACAGGTGTGAGCCACCGCACCCGGCCTCTTTCTTTCTTCCACTGCAGCTAACCATTCTGTTTGCCTCTCTTGGAACTTGAACCTCTCCAATATGTCCCTGAAACTTCATTCTCTTGATTTCTCTCTTCATCTACTCATTTCATATAAAATCATATCATATAAATTTATTTAAGAAGGTGTTCTTGACTCTCAGCCAAGTCCTTGAACATTTATCTATTCTGGTTCATTGGTACCCAATTCTCATCAAAGGATTCTTTACCCATCAATAATAAAATGAGAAAAATGTTGCCAGTGGAGTAAGGTTTACATGAAGCTAAACGTATTTGATTTTAAGACTGCCCTTTATTCCAAGATTATATCTTTAGCACATTTTTATTGTCAGAATATCCTTTGAATGTAGGCTATGGAATTAGGCTATCTGGGTAAAAAACCTAAAAATACCACTTACAGGCAGTCATTTAACCTCTCCAAGTCTGTTTGCTTGTCTGTAAAATAGGACTATAATTATACATACCAATAGAGTTATATTCGAACCTTACAAATAAGATAATGCATGTAAAGCACTTAACCATTTCCCAGGCACACAGTTTCTATCAACAAATGATAGCACTGTTGTTGCTGAATTACTTCCTCCACCATAATGACTGTCAGATTTATTACCATCATTATTTAATGTTCTTACCTAGCAAAATAAGTCATTGGCAACCCTATGTTGGTCCTTAACCAACAGTTTTCTTTGAAATAATTGTATTCATAAAACCCCAAAGCCTCCGAGCCACAGCTCCTGGATGATTGTGTGTCATCTGTTCCTAATTGCCTGACAATAGGCCTGTTACTCTTTTACTACTTATAGGTGCAACTGGGTTATTGATGTCTTATCAGATCGTACAGAGCTGTGCTTTTCAGATTTTAATGTGTATACAAATCACCTGGGGATTTTGTTAAAATACAAATTCTGATTCAGTAAGTGTGGGATGGGGCCTGAGATTCTGTATTTCTGATAAGCCCCCAGGTGATGCCAGTGCTGCTGCTTCAAGGATCCTCCACTGAGTGGCAAAAATGTAGAACATGTATTTTCTGTTTTTGAGACAGGGTTTTGCTCTGTTGCCCAGGCTGGGGTGCAGGGGCACAAT
Source organism: Homo sapiens (assembly GCF_000001405.40). Taxonomy (NCBI): domain Eukaryota; kingdom Metazoa; phylum Chordata; class Mammalia; order Primates; family Hominidae; genus Homo; species Homo sapiens. The sequence continues at coordinate 130,586,021 of NC_000003.12, forward strand.
CACAGGTCACTGCAGGCTCAACCTCCCAGGCTTAAGCGATCCTCCCACTTCAGCCTCCCATGTAGCTGGGACCACAGGCATATGCCACCATGCCCAGCTAATTTTGTAAAATTTTGTAAATTTTTTGTAGAGGTGGAATCTTGCCATGTTGCCCAAGCTGGATTTTCTTAGTGTGTGAATTTCTCTTTACTTTAGCATGCTCTGTAGATCTTTTAGAACTGTCTCCTTCAAATCAAGGAACTGGAAGTTGTGTTACAATTTTCCCTGTCTCCAATTTATTTAGTTTTGAAAAACATAATTCCTTTTGTACTCTTATTATAGTCTTGTCACTTGTCAGGTTTACATCATGTGTTTGGGGGAAGTGGACAGTAAACTGACTGTTCTTCTTGCAGCTGTTCACTGAGAATAACAATTTAAATATGCTTGCAAAAAACTAAAGTAACCAAACCCACCTCACCTGGAACATTGTAAACTGTGTTGGATAGGCCTGAATGCCCTCATAACTGTTGCTCTGGATGGACCTGCTGATTCAAGTGACTTGGCTGATCTTCCCTATATTGAATTTGGGAAAGGATTTGAGTACAGGACACAGCTCTCTATTGGCATGAGAGAACTTGGAAGCCGGCTGTCAAAGCAGCTGGTAAGTTATTCTGAAAAGGCTGGTGAGCTTAAATTTTCAATTATTTTGTATATAAGTTTAATACTTATGCTTAAGAATTTGAACTTACTGTGTTTATTTGGGAGTGAAGAAAGGTTTTTATGAATTAGTGAACAGCCTAAGTAAGAGGGTTTGTTTGGAAGAAATGTAATACAGTAAAGAGATGTCAAAGCATGTTTAATTTATACACTGGGCAAAAATAGGAGGAGGAAAGAGGGAAAAAGAAGAAAATTTAAATAGCACCCACAATCATGTCCAAATTATAGCCAAAGAACATAAGTGACAAAAAGAATCTGAGATGCGAGCGTGAATCGGCCGTTAACCTCCACCAGCCAGTTTTCACACCGCTTGCAGATCCTAGGCATAACAGCTTTCCGTACTGAGTGTAATTCTAGTGTTTAAGATGTGTATTTTTCCTGGGATAAGGCCTGTAAATGAAAGCAAATTACATTTGGAGTTCAACTAGAGAAAGAGCAATCTGCTCTAAAGCTGGAGGAAATGCCTAGTGACAGTAAACCTCACATGTTGTACTTTATGAGCAATTGAAAGATTAGGGGTTGTGACTCCTTGAGATTTCTACCTTATATTCTCTTTGTTTGTTTGAGACAGTCTTGCTCTATCGCCCAGGCTGAAGTGCAGTGTTGTGATCTCAGCTTATTGCAATCTCTGCCTCCCGGGTTCAAGCAATTCTCCCTGCCTCAGCCTCCCGAGTAGCTGGGATTACCGGCGCCCGCCACCATGCCCGGCTAATTTTTGTATATTTAGTAGAAACAGGGTTTTGCCATGTTGGCCAGGCTGGTCTTGAACTCCTGACGTCATCTTATGTTCTATTTTTAAACCTAATGCCTGTATAAGATGTATCTCAATTGTATTTCTTTCAAAAACATACGAGAATTCAAACTCAAGTGGTAAAGTGTCAGCAAGCTCTGTGTGGCTCTACTTCTACTTTAATGAATTGCTAGTAATTTTGTAATTTGCTTATAACTTATAAAATCTTTAATCAGTATATGAGAACACTTTCCAAGGAAGTGCTAGCTCCTGCTGTTTTCCACCTATAAAATTCATATACACATAGGTATTTAAGCAGCTTGTTCAGTGTTGTAATTATGTAAAAATAATTACATATAGAATATGAAAGTTTTGTTGGAATTCCTTTCTACATGGGAAGACAGTGTTTTTACAAAATGTGTCTTTTTTTCCTGTCGACTACTGTTTGAAATCTCTTTGGTAATTCATAGAGGAAGGAAATTCTTCTTCAAACAAACCTCTCAGTTTTTGTATATCATATAAATGGAACACTCTACAAGAAAAACTTAATCATAGATCAGTTTTAATGTTAATAGTAATAGATTTGATGCTGTAGAATTTTGGTGATCCAAAGAAAATTGATGTTATCTGATATAAAATCATAGTATCCATTTTGTTATTGTTTGCTTTCACACATTTCCAGTTTGGTTGCTTTTTCTGAAATTGTCAGGAAAAAGAATTTCATAATGTCAGAAAAGGAACATTATATAGTAGGAAACAATCAAAGGGAGAAAATTGCTAAATGACTATAACAAAAGATTTTCATTTTTCATTGCACTAGAAATTTATTGGGAAACTTCACAATACAAAGATTGGTTCTGCCCCACTAAAGTGAAGTATAACATTTATCTGAAAATAGAATTTTTCTAAAAGTAAATCTGGTGAGTTAATTGTAAAAATGTAAAGCAATATGTCATCTATTCAAGGGATGGCTGGGTAAGTCCAGGATGACATTTATTAATGTTTTAAAATATATGATATAGATGTTTTTACCAGAGTATAAAGAGTAATATTCTCCTGTGCCCCAATCCCCTACAGCAAGTGCTTCCAAAATATTGCACGTGTAAGTTGTGTTTTTGAAATCCTATCAGAATTGCTTTGGAAGAGTTAACCATTGGACTTAGTTCCAAGACATGTTACATTGGGCACTGTCTAAATTCTCTAGCATACCAAGATTTCACAAAATGAGGAAAATAGCATGCATTCATTTTATTGAACAAAATATTTGGGGCAGAAATATATAGGGAAATCGACAATATCATAGTCAGTGCTAGAGTGAGATGGGGCAGGGACAGACAACCACATCAGTTGGCATGCAGTCAGTTTGCCATAGCTAAACTGATACCAATTTGAAAACACAGAAACATTTTTGAGTTGATTTGGAATACCTGAAATGGTGGAGAGTGCAGATGATAGAAGAAAAGATGGAAGCAAAAAAAAAAAAAAAAAAAAAAGTTTCATGCATTCTTTCTAAAGCACAGTCATTTGAATGGTGACCAGGCTTCTGAAACTGTGGTAGAAGTCTGGATCGCATGGTTGAACTTGTATATGAGATTTGGGAAGCAATACCACCAAATGTAATGTATTTCTTACCCTCTCCCAAGGTCAATGTTGCTGAAAGGACATGCTGCTGTTTGTTCTGCAAGTGCATTGGAGGAGATGGCACAATGGGAGATCCTGGACCACCAGGGAAAAGGGTGATTTTAGCTCAGATTTATGGGTTACTTTGAGTTGTAGTATGTCCTTCAGACATGGGTTTAAGTAGAAATAAGGGGTGATTTTTAACTTCTAAATAGAGCCTCTTATATAAGAGTTTATTATACTCCTCTTTTTATATGTTAAGTTAGTCATGGATTTTCCTTGGCATTCTAAATTGGAGTCTTTTTTAAAAGTTTTTGTGGAAGACTCAGGAGAAACAACTGTCAAGATCCTTGATTATCCAGTATTCTAGTACTGATGACAATGATGCAGAAAAATCAGCTATAATTCCTCATGTTGGATAATGAAAGCCTCCTCCATGTGAATAACGCATTTCAGCATTCATTTTTAATGATGGCAGAGTTATTAAAATCAAAGCGAAGATACTTTGTGTACTCTGCTGAAAACCAGGCTAGATCAGATCACTCTCTTATAGCAAAAGATGTTAAGATGTCTCATTCATCTTAAGCCAGGTCAAAATGTTATCACAGATATATAAACAAAAACAGGCTCATTATTTAAAAACAGAAACCAACAACATTGATTCATATATTTCCTAACCAGAAAAAGTATATGTACCCTTATGTGAAAATATTATTTTGAACTTTAAGAAATGTTTAAATACATATAAACACTGTGGATATGTTATAATGATTTCAATACAGTTTGTTTACATGTGTTTTATTTTTGAATAATTTATAGATAGCACTGTAACTCCCAAATCACCAGGGCTATGTCTCTGAATATGTCTCTGAAAGTTTTTGGACTAATTATTTCCTGAATGTTTCAGCTTCATGTAAAGAGAGTGGTAGATTTTTTTAAAAAACAAGGCTCAGAAAGAATGGAAAGAAAGGTGTGTGGTCTATTTTTCTATGTGTAGCATAAATCTTAAAAGATTTTTTAATAAACGGAGAATAATTCTAGTTTATCAGTGGCAAATATAGCTGTGTTGACTTGAATGTTTAGAAAGAAGCTCTGGAACTATATATAAACCCAGATTTACAATATTATGATTGACACCCCCTTGAGTTCACTGGACACTTGTCTCGAAATTCCATTTCTTTTTTTTTCATATATATATATATATATATATATATATATATATATATATATATATTTTTTTTTTTTTTTTTTTTTTTTTTTTTTACTATAAGTTCTAGGGTACTTGTGCACAACGTGCAGGTCTTTTACATATGTATACATGTGCCATGTTGGTGTGCTGCACCCATTAACTCGTCATTTACATTAGGTATATCTCCTAATGCTATCCCTCTCCCTCCCCCCACCCCACGACAGGCCCCTGTGTGTGATGTTCCCCTTCCTGTGTCCCAGTGTTCTCATTGTTCAATTCCCACCTATGAGTGAGAACATGCGGTGTTTGGTTTTTTTGTCCCTTTTTTTTGAGACGGAGTCTCGCTCTGCCGCCCAGGCTGGAGTGCAGTGGTGCGATCTCGGCTCACTGCAAGCTCCGCCTCCCGGGTTCACGCCAGTCTCCTGCCTCGGCCTCCTGAGTAGCTGGGACCACAGGCACCCGCCACCACACCCGGCTAATTTTTTATATTTTTAGTAGAGACGGGGTTTCACCGTGTTAGCCAGGATGGTCTCGATCTCCTGGCCTCTTGATCCGCCCGCCTGGGCCTCCCAAAGTGCTGGAATTACAGGCATGAGCCACCACACCCGGCCAAAATTCCATTTCTTTTTATGTGTGTAAATGCAACCTACATTGGGAAGGAAGGACCATTTTTTTCAAACACTTACTATTCCACATGAAGTAAAACTGTAAAACTGAATTTGGTTTGGTTACCTCTGATTTTTGGTCCATAGATGCAAATGTTTTCTTCCTTTTCTTATTTCCAGGGACCTCCAGGTTTTAAAGGCAGTGAAGGCTACCTGGGAGAGGAGGGAATCGCTGTAAGTCAGGGCTCTTTTTTACCTCCATTTATCCCTAAAAACATCTACAATATGAATTTCCTTGAGTCAATTCAGGGGGAAGCAAGAAAGGTGAGATTCTAAGGATTCGTGTACAGAATCTCAGATCTTCTTTTGTCCTCATTGTGCTTTGCTTCTGGTGGTCATTAGTGGTTTATTGACCTATTGTCTCTTCTTTGACTACCCACCAACATTGCACAATGAATTCAATGCGGAAGTAACCTCCTTCACTAGGGGAGTTGAATCACTGCTGTTTCCCCCATTCTGGAGCATTCTGTAAAGGTAAACCAACTCACCACATTGTGTATCAAGGACCCCACTCTTTCTTGCATTCATTCATCCTTCCTTCCTCCCATCAATCCATCCAAACATTTGTTTACCAATTATATATAAACATCTTACCATTTCCTACATTATTTTATCAAAGACCTCACACTTTAACATACTCATTCATTGGTTCATTCAACAAATATATGTTACATATATGTGTGCCTGGCAGATTATCAGATACTTAACAAATATTTGTAGGCTTCAGCAATAAGAAAAATAAAAGGAAAAATATGGTTTCTACCTCCAGGAAACTTTCAAACTAGTAGAAATGCAAATGAGACAACAGTGATTCTGGTTGTTTTACACAAGGGCTAGACTAGAAGTATAGAGACATGCAAAGGAGTGTGGCAGAACAACTCAGTTACCTAACAGCCTTAGCTAAAGTTGGGGCTTGAGAGGGGAACGCTGCGAACAAGGAGTAGTACTTGGGCAGACATTTGAAGGATGAATAGGAATTTCTACAGGCAAAGTTTGGGGGAAAAGTATGTTCAAGGGCATGTATCTGAGTCAGAGAAGATCATGTTCATAAGATGGCACATGGTTAACATGGATGGAACCCAGGTCACTGCAGGAGGAAGATATATGTGGCAAGTAAGACTCAGGTTATTGGGAGTCTTGAATCCCCTGCTGAAGATTTGGATTGTGTCTTCTAGTTGGTGGGCAGTCACTGAATGGTGGGAAGCACAGGGGTCAAAATTATGGGAGTGTTTAGAAAGCATGCTCAAGCAACATTACAGATGATGATAAGGTGAAGGTTTATAGGTAAGTCTTGCAGTCATAGATGCAAGACAGGTCCTAATTTGTGCTTAGGACAGTATGACTAGATATGTTAAGAAGGTTGGAAGGACGTAACTTGGTGACCACTTGGTGAGAGAGAAGTCTCACACAGGCAGTATGCAAGTGGGATCCAAAGCAAAGGGCTGTCTATCATCAGGGTATCTCTGATTTATTTCTACTCTTAGTTTTTATAAGCAAGAACTCTGGATTGTGAACCATGAGCATTCACACTTTTTTTGGTAACAAAAAACTTGTCAAGTTTTCAAGACAGATCTCAGATTACAATAGAAAAAGCTCATTTGGATATGTGCCCTTTCTCAGGGAGAAAGAGGAGCCCCTGGACCAGTGGGAGAGCAAGGTACTAAGGGATGCTATGGCACCAAAGGTCCTAAGGTAAGGATTGCATAAGAGTGTGGAGTTTTCTCAATATTAATTACATTTTCCTACACTAACTATAACTGTCCTTTTATTTTCAGGGAAACAGAGGACTAAATGGACAGGAGGTATGTTACCAGGCACATCCATTTACCTACCCATATGTTATCTAGAAATATTTTTATTTTTGAGATTATTTATCAGTAAATTATACAAATAAAGTTGTCATTGACTTTCCTTTTTTATTGCCAGCCATTTCATTTTGTTTCTTCTTCTCTTTCATTATAGGCAATACATATTATTTGTTGATAGTTTCTATTACTGAGTAACCTTTAATATTAATAACCCAGGCCCAGCCTCACAAGGAGGCTGTATGTGAAACACAAAAATAGAGTTTTTGTTTGGCATCTGACTTCTTTACACATGCACGTGATGTACTCTGTTCTAATCATATCTATCTTTTCAGGGAGAAGTTGGGGAAAATGGAATTGACGGATTAAACGGAGAACAGGTAGAGCCTTCTTGTACCATAGAGACCCTTCTGAGCTATTTACCATTATGAAAACGAGAATTCTATTAATAGCTTTCCCTTCTTGTTTTTTAGGGTGATAATGGTCTTCCTGGAAGAAAAGGAGAAAAGGGAGATGAGGGATCTCAGGTAGGGATTTGAAAAGGAAGAACATAAAAATTGTACTGGGGATTAAGGGTGTGATTAACAGAGTAGAATACTCAGTCAGCTATTGCTACAAAACTGTTTTGTGACAGTCATAAAACCTCAATCACATACAACGATGAACATTTATTTCTTATGTTTCTGAGGGGTTCAGCCGATTGAGGCTGGACATGGCTCATGTCTGTAAGGTGGCCGGGGGCTTTACTCCATCTGTCACTTACCCTCCTGGGACCAGGAGCTAGCCTAACCATGCTAGCCATGACCTTTTTATGCCCATGGCAGAAGCACAAGAAAGCAAGTGGAAACATACTAGAACTCTCAGGTCTTCTTCAGACCTAGGGTCAGAACTCTCTCAACACTTGCATCTCTTTCTGTTGGCCAAATCAATGCATATTGCCAAACTCAGAGGAAGGGAATCTTGCCCACCACAGTTGGAAGTCATTGTAGAGTTACATGGCAAAGGACACAGGAATAGGGAGAGGTGAAGAACTGGGGCCATCAATGACAAGCAACTACCATAGTAAGAATAGAAGTGGGGTGTTGACAAGGGTCAGTGGTGCCAGGCAGCACATTGAAGAGTGAATGTCCCTCATGCCCACCTAGAATAAATACCAACAGCAGCCATATTTTCATCCTCTACTTTGTCTTTAGAGTGTGAACAATTGAGTCAGAAACAACCATCTTGGGCAAAGTGCATATTCTTTCTGAATCTCAGTTGCCTTATAAAAGAAAGATAATAAGGAATACCTGGTTCATAGAATATTTGTAAAAAACAAGATGACAAGTGTGTCTGGAACACAGAGTTCACCACTGTGGCAAATAATTGAGTTCACTATTAAATTATTTATATGGTGCTTGAAACTAATTTTTTCGGTTGTTCATCTTTCCAGCTTAAAAATAGCCTTTGTAGAAAAATATTTAATTATTCACACCAGGGAGAAGAAAAGCTCTGTTTTTATTAATTTTATTAAAACTTCTTGTCTTGTTTTTCTTCTGATTTGTATTAACTTTAGGGAAGCCCAGGGAAGAGAGGGACTCCTGGTGACCGTGGAGCAAAGGGCCTGCGAGGGGATCCCGTAAGTGCACGGGCTGCAAACTGGAGTTAGGGCTTGATTCCCATCCGTACTTCTGATAGGGAGTCTCGATTTCAAGGTACTACAATAGTAACCCTGAGTTTAAAACACCACAGGCATGATTGTAACATTTTAAATTCAGGTACCTGTGCTAGATCCTCTTCATATACTGAATGAGTATGAGCAGTAAAAAGCCCTTACATGTCTTTTGCAAATGCAATTTTGTAAATACATACTCAGAATTGTTTTTGTGCTTCAAAACAATGAAGAAATTCTGGTCCACTTCATTATCTTCCAAGCACCTCAAAATACAAACACAATGACAGAAAGAAAGCCATGTCTTTTTTTTCTGTTCTTGTGTTAGTCTGTTCTCACATTGCTAATAAAGACATACCTGAGTCTGGGTAATTTATAGAGGAAAGAGGTTTAACTGACTCATAGTTCCACATGGCTGAGGTGCCCTCACAATCATGAAGAAAGAGCAAAAGGACGTCTTATATGGCAGCAGGCAAGAGAGCTTGTGCAGGGGAACTTCCATTTATAAAACCATCAGATCCCATGAGACTTACTCACTACCACAAGAACAGTATGGGGGAAACCACCCCCATGATTCAATTATTTCCACCTGGCCCCACTGTTGATATGTGGGATTATTACAATTCAAGATGAGATATGGGAGGAGACACAGCCAAACCACTATCAGTTCTCCAAGAATTTTTCTCAAGAATATCAGTCTCATTTCCTGTAACCCAGGCCAAGTAGAATTATATTAGGCAAAACTTATGACATAAAGGCACTGCCCTTGCAGGAGCACAACCCAGCTGAGTAGGCAGGACCCATGTTAAAGAAAAAAAAAAAGATACCAATATATAGGGAATATGCCAAGTCCGATAGAACATCAGTACTATAGGATTTTCATCACCATACCCACACTTAAGTAAGTCTCCAAAACCTTAATGAATTAAGATTTAGCTTTGTTTTAAAATGTTTATTGAACTGTAACATACATCAGAAAAGTCCCTGAGTTATAAATACACAGCTTAATGAATGTGAATACACCTGTGTAGTCACCACCAGGTAAAGAAATAGAACATTACCAGCATCTCAGAAGCCCCCTCATGCCCACTGCAGCCACTACTCACCTTCCCCCAAGGTAATCACTATCCTGTCACTATTAATTAGTTTTATGTGTTCTAGAACTTGATATAAATGGAACCATATAAGTGTCTGCTCTTTTTTTCTGGCTTCTTTTGCTTTATACTTGTAAGATGAATCAATGTTGTGTATAACAATAGTTCATTCAATTTCGTGGCTGCATTGCATAGTATTTCATTGTGTGAATATACCATGATTTATTTGTTATACTAATGATAGGTGGGTTGCTCCCAGTTTTTGCTTTTATAAGTAGTGCTGCTATGAATATTCTTATATATGTCTTTTGATGCACTTTTTTACATATTTATATTGGGTCTATATTTTAAGAGTAGAATTTCTGGATTATAATGTGTATGGCCATACTCAGATTGTCTTTACAGTCAAATGGTTTTCAAAAGTTTGTATTTATTTATACTCCCACTAGCAATGTATGAGAACGGTATTACACACTCATCAGAATGGTTACAATTTATAAAAAGCAATACCAAGTGCTGATAAGGATGTGGGACACCTGGGAATCTCATGAGGATTTTTGTTTTCTTTAATATAACCTCTTGTATACAATGGGTTGATCAGAGAAGGAATTTGATGCAATATATATGAACATGTAAATGTTAGGCAACTGTATTTAAAAACAGAGGAATTTGCGCATGAGGAAAACATTGTTGACTAAGTGACATCTTCTGATAATGGTGTCCTGAGAATTTTCAACTTCAAAGAATCTAATTTAGAACCAAAGAACTATCCACATATAAGCACAACTTAGAAATATTAGTTCAAATACAAAGACGTTTCAGTTATCCATATATGATGACCAAAAATTCATTTGGGGCATTGCTATATAACCTCCACTGATTTTGATCAGAATTTCTCCTAAATTGTCTGCTAAAGATCGTGTGATTGTGTAACATATTTTAAAGAGTCTGAATAATGTAAAGAGCTTTCTATTTTAAAAGAAATGCTCTATGACTTCCAACTGTAAAACAACTCTGTTTTTTTACATGTGGCTTCAGTGCATTACTATTTCAGGAAAAATTGGGGATAAATAAATAGAACACACATGATCAGTTTATTCTTAGGAAAGCATGTAAATGATGCTAATTTTTGAAACCCTAAGTTTATTCAGATAGGATTTATGATCACATGGAAGTGCATTTGGCTGTTTGGAATTTCCCATCTTGACGAGCTGTTTGGAATTTCCCATACTGACTGGAAGTGTTTGTTTAATGGGTGCAACACACCAACATGGCACATGTATACATATGTAACAAACCTGCACGTTGTGCACATGTACCCTAAAACTTAAAGTATAATAATGATAAAATTTTTAAAAAAAGAAATATTGGGGGAAAACAGTTAAATTATTTGATCTATAGAGGCTATAGTAAGGTTCATTTTGACAATATATTATTATAAGCCCATGTTTAATTGTAAATTTGTGGAAGATAATGCTTTTTTACCCAGTTGTATACGTATAGAAAGACTAAATCGGTTCAGATTCACATTGACCAACTGTCTGTATGCAATTTGGGTTGTTCTGTTCTGTAAAATGTGCTGGTATATGATTCTTTTTATGTTATCTCTTCAAGTAGTTTAGAATTGAACTACAATAAGGGGCTTTTATGTCCAGTGAAATAAAATTCTGGACTTTACGTGACCTTCCTTTTCCTTCCCTGCTTTTTCCACCAAAATACAATTTTCTGATATTGTAATTGAGGTATACCCTGCTTGGAGAACGTAAGAGACAAATATTTAAACTTAAGGAAGAAAAAGAAGATACAGAAAATGATATTTGGCTTTGGTAGGTGGAGGAAAGAAGCAATTTTTCACCTACATTTTAGTAATATCAGTGTTATAAAGTAAATTCCAAACCCATCTTTTTCATCCCATTAACTTATAAGCTCTGTAAGTACAAAACCATTTGTTTAAAAAGCTTACTAAGTATCTGGAACAATGATATGTCCCTGCTGGTGACCGCAAATTACTTATTGATTGATGAAGGAAATCTGAGCTGCTATCAGCCCAGCAGCCCCATAGCTGGCACTCAGCAGGACTGGATAATTGTTGTCCTCTCTCAGTTTATTGGAGCATTGACTGAATTGACTAGCTCAACTGATTGTCTCAACATCATGGAGACACAGCTCTGTTTGTGGTTCATACGACTCAAGCAAGAAAGACTTTGGTTTGGCCTGCTAAAGAGAATATCCCACAACGTATGCTTGTTGTCAGTGAGTTCCCGGGAAATAGTTGCATGAATAGTGGGGAAAATTCAAAATTTCAGGATTTTTTGGAAACTGGAAAAGTAGGGGTGAACATATGGGTGTAGCATATGGGAGTGCCCAGGTGTCCAGGAAGAGAAAGAGGGAGCTGGTGGCAGGTAGAATCTTCAGTGTCACTTAGTGTGCTTATTACATTATCAGAGTGGAACCCATTACAAATTTTGTCTTTTCCCAAGGGTATGGTAGAATAAAATCTACCAACTCTCAAGTGTAACTTTGCCTAGCCTCCAAGAAAAAAGAGGAAAAGTTAAGAGAAGGGGTGGCAGTAACAAGAGGGATTTCCTCCAGACCCAGGGTAAGAGTTGCCATGCACATAATTCACATCACCCTGGCTTGCCTTGGCTGTGCCTTCTATGGAGAGCTCTTTCTCCCCACACACATGCCTTAGGTCTCCGTTCTCTCTCTGATAATGTCAAACACAGGAGGAAAAGAAAATACTTGTAAGCCATCTGTAATTTTAACCTATTTCTGCTTTCAAATGGGTTGGAATTGTCAACTTCTCGAGAGTTAGCTAAGTGTTATACATAAGTTATATGTTTAAGGAGAAATGTCCAAATATATTAATTTTTCTCTTTATTTTCTATTTTTAGGGAGCTCCTGGAGTTGACAGTAGCATAGAAGGACCCACAGGCTTGAAAGGAGAACGTGGAAGACAAGTAATTACGTGGGCTTGTAAAATCGTGATGCAACAACTGTGGGGCTTAAGTTCTTGTTGGTAGAATGTGAAATGCTTAACAAAAAAACTGGAATCAAAGTGGATATACTTGGTACAGAAAAACCATTATTAGGAGCAAAATGATCTTTTCTCCTGCCTATGTACTACTCTGGGATTTGAGAAACATTCTTGCCTTCCTCCTCTAAATTTGGGGTGACTTGATTCACCAAGACACATCCTCGAGGTCTTCATGAATATAAACATTGGAACTCTAACTTAAAATATAGGGCTAGCTGATAGAAAGAACTGTGCTAGCAAAAGAGCTGTTGGCCTTTCCAGTATCTGGAGGTAACATACCCTAAAAAGACATATTAGTAGTACATTATAAAAAGAACAAGATCTGGTAGATAGACGTGGTCCACACAATCAAGAAAAGTTCTTGGGCTTAATCTCATAAGTCACAATGTGGTCATCAAAACCTGTTTTCAGTATTTAAAAATAGTTGTCTAAAAAATGCGTTACTGGATTTTCTTGGATAATGTTCCCTTGATGACTGTACCTAGGAAAGAAGTACGATAAAGTGGAAAGAACTGTGCTTTGGAGACAGCACTGGGTCCTATCTCATGCTCCGTTGCTTACCAGCTCTGGATCCTGGGATACTTTCTGTAAACCCCAATTTTCTTATCTGTAAAATAGGGTGAATAGCCTATTTTAGAAGGTCATGATGGGAATTAATGATATTTAATTTAATGACATTATAACCTTCAGTAAATATTATCTGCCATTATTAGTAAGTGGTAAATGTAAGTCCCATAGAAGACTCATAAATTATTGCATACTTTTGTATCTAATGATCATCTCAAGTGATCATCTAGTGATCATACAAGTCTTTTTATTATGAGACTTTATTTACAGTAAGGTAATAATCTGTTTGATTAGCCAAAAGGATCAAGCAATTCAAAAGTAGAAATCCAAACCAGTAGTAGCCATACCTGACACATAGTATGCTTTAGTTATCCACACTGTGGCAACGTAGTAGGGATAGTTTGAATTATCTGAGACATGTACCCCAAATACAACTTAGACAGTAGTGATGAATGATGAACAGATGAAGCCATGTCATTAGCATTTTTTCCTGCAATTCCTCATGACTTATATAGAAATGTGACTTATGATCAGTAGAGTTCATGCCATTTTCCAAAGGAAAGGTAACTCTCTCATTGGTGTGTGAACCTATCTATCCTCCCTGGAGTAAAAGTTGATGTTAAAGAGAAACTCTGTCAATGCTGCATAATTACCGTCACACATCTGTCTGTTCCTTTGACAGGGCAGAAGAGGCTGGCCAGGCCCCCCCGGGACACCAGGCTCCAGAAGAAAGACAGTAAGAGCCCTTCTAGACAAGGAGACCCACTGTTTTGGTGGCTCATGTTGTGGTGAAAATGGCTGACTTTGGGGGAGTGGGTGGGATGGTTCTGCTGGAGCTCACTACCTTGAGGAAACTAACTTATGACATCTCGCAGACCAGGGCTGGCAAAGGACTTGGGAAAGCCCTGGAAGCTGAGGTAGGAAAGTGCTGACTGCAGAGCAGATCGCCAGTCAGGAGAGAGAGCTGGGCAAAGAAAACCAAAAAAACCTCCAACTAGGGGAAAAGTGGTCAAAGTGTGGCCTACTAGCTAGGTTGAGATCACCTGTGATAGCGTTTTAAATCCAAATTCTATTCTTTCTTTGCCAAATTGTATGACTATTAAGAAAAGTAAGAATGGTGATTATTAAAGTCAAGAAACAATAGATGCTTGTGAGGATGTGGAGAAATAGGAATACTTTTACACTGTTGGTGGGAATGTAAATTAGTTCAACCATTGTGGAAGACAGTATGACAATTCCTCAAGGATCTAGAACCAGAAATACCATTTGACCCAGCAATCCCATTACTGGGCATATACCAAAAGGAATATAAATCATTCTACTAGAAAAACACATGTACACGTATGTTTATTGCAGCACTATTTACAATAGCAAAGACATGGCACCAACCCAAATGCGCATCAATGATAGACTGAATAAAGAAAATGTTGTACATATACACCATGGAATACTATGCAGCCATAAAAAGGCATGAGATCATGTCCTTTGCAGGGATATGGATGAAGCTGGAGCCATCATCCTCAGGAAACTAACACAGGAATGGAAAACCAAACACCGCATGTTTTCACTCACAAGTGGGAGTTGAACATTGAGAACACATGGACACAGGGGAACAACACACACCAGGGCCAGTCGGGGGTTGGTGGGGCAAGGGGAGGGAGAACATTAGGACAAATAGCTAATGCATGTGGGGCATAAAACCTAGATGAACAGTTGATAGGTGCAGCAAACATGGCACACATACACTTATGTAACAAACCTACATGTTCTGCACTTGTATCCTGGAACTTAAAATAAAAATAAAAATTTAAAACAGGAAAAAAAAAGGGGGAAAGAAAAGAAGTCAGTCCTGGTATAGGCATATCTGAGAGTGAAATTGGATCACTTGCTTGTTGGGGGTGCAGTTTTGGTTTGTTTTTTATTTTATTTGTTATTTTTTCATTAAGTACTTTAAAAAATTTGTGTGCAGAAAAGCACAGAGATGATAAAATATTCAATAAGAAGAGATAACTTTAATAAAATATACTTAGATGCCTACATCAGTGTCTAAATTAGGCTGTCTCGTTTCATTTTGCTAGGTTTTCTTTCCATTCTTTATGTAGTTATCCAGCCTTCAATTTCCCCCACCCCCTCCCAAATAGAAAAATGTTTTAAAATTAAGCACAAGTAGAAACTACTTTAGTATATTGCATTTATTACACATTGTCTTTTCTGAGCAGAAGTTTATAGAGCCAGCTATTACACTCCATCGAAAAATATTTTTTTTATCTTGGAGCATACCCGTGTTCTTTGCAAGGCAGAGAAAATGAAAAGAGATCGTTTAAAATATGCAGAATTTGATTGCTGGAAAAGTGCTTTACTAATGCAGTTTCAACGCTTATAAAGAAATGCATTTGCTATTCATTTCACTTTCTAAAAGGGTGTAGTCAGCTTATATACCCCTGGAAAATATTTTCAACTTAAAGAATATCATCCAGGAAATCCTGGCATGTAAGGATGTACTTTCACTGTTTTATAGCCTCCAGGGGCTAATGCAATATTGCTATGCATTATTTAAACCACACCACTCCCATGAAATATGACCCCCATCTTGGGTTATAGCTTCAGCCATGTCATTCAGGAGTAAAAGTGGGACTTCAGTTGAAATGGCAGAGTAAAGCTGTTTTCACACTATTCCTCTTACGTGCATCTCACCAAAAGCAACAAAAGAAATTAAAAATGGCGAAACAGAGAATAACCACAGCTTCAAGCTGCAAGTAATGACAAATGCCGGCCAACTGTTTTTAAATCTCAACCCTAATGAGTAAGGATTTAGAAAGCTGATACATCAAGTGTGACCTCATGCAGGGATCAGATTTCTTCAAAACTAACTGCCATAGTCCTGAAAAAACTGGTGAGCAAAATCCAGGGACATGGTAGATTTTGAGTGGAGCAGGGAATATACACATAGGGCCATAGTTCAACAGAGGAGGCAAAATGAGAAACTGGAAAATATTCCACTTTTATTATGTACAACTAGCAACCAAGGCCATGGAGGCTGCAAACAATGAGGAGAGAAGTAACAGTGTCTATCACAACACAGGGAAACTATGACTTAAGGGGCTTCATATGAGTGCCATGAATCTCTAAACATCAGTAGTAGAAGGAAGATGTAGCTCTAAGGAAAAAGAAATCATTCGTTTGATGAGAAAGTGTTTGAGGCAACATATCTGTGTCAAAGCCACCAGCCCTGTTCCAGGCACACATCCCCATAATTTCTTCAATAAACAAGTGGTCCTATTCAAAGATGGTGAATGGTCAGGAACATTAATAATCTTTATTAATTAGATGATTAATCAGGACGTAAAGCTGCAAGAGAAAGAAAACCATGGGCAAAGGGCAGATAAAGCCTCATTAGAAGAGGAATTATTCAAGGAAAAATATGAATTCTGGCAAATAGTTCTCCAGGGTCTCAAAGAAGTGAAGATAACATTATTGCTCTTAAAGTTTGAAACACAGACAATAGAAAGTGAAGAAAGCAAGTTGGCAGGGCTTGAGGAGAAATGGAAGGGAAAACAGTAGAGATGTAAGACATGTTAACACCTGACATTTCTATTCTTTGTTTTTTCTTCAAGTAAAATTAGATGTAATATTTTAATTTTAAAAAAGTTTAATATGGTTGCTTTTTAATAAAACACTATTTAGAATTTTATCTGTAAGAATGAGTATAGAAGATGTCAGGAATCATGATTAACATAATATTTCTAGATGGAGGAGTTGGGTGATTTAAAAATTTTTTTCTGTATTCTCTGTATTCAAATATTTTTTAAATCAGCATGCATCATTCTCATAACAGTAAAGTCATTCTTTGAGAAAGTAGAAAAATCTAGTGTTCACTGCAGAACTCTAAAATGAATGTTACAATGAGCATGGAGGACTTGTCAGTGCACTTAGGTTCCACTAAGCGGGTAAGTGATTGGAGGATGGCCAGTGGTAGGAGTGGCATGCGGGGAAATAAACAGCAAATCTGACCTTTACTCATTTGAACACCTACAGTCCACCAGCAACACTACTAAATACTAGAAATAAACTCAACTACAAGCTTAACTAAGACCATCTTTCCTGTCAAGGAACTTAGAATCATGTTGTAGAGTGTGGTTTCTCAGCCTCAGCATTATTGGCATTTGGGTTAAACAATTCTTTGCTGTGGGGGGCTAGGCCTCCGCCCATTAGCTGCCAGTAACACCCCTGACCTGTAACAATGAAAAATGTCTCCAGATATTGCTAAGTGTTTTCTGGGGAAAGGGAGGGTACTAAATCCCCCCTTTCCTGCTGAGAATCACTTTGTAGAGGGGATGGACCTGTAGAGCTAATAAGCTGTTACCAGTGCTATGCTAGCAGACTATAATGAATTGGGGGAAAAGGCAGGAAGGATGGACAAGAAGGAAGAATCTGGGTTAGAATGTGGTAGTTCTGTGGGGGAGATGAGGAAGAAAGGGGGAGCGTCTCTGAGCCAAACCTGAGAATTAGAACAGATTCTTGTGCCAAGGATAATGAGAAGCAACTGTAGCCTCAAATTAATGCATATCCTTCATTCCTAGTTAGTCTAGAGGGCTGTTAGTTATGACTTGCCCTTTTCATCCCTCTTGGCACTCATTTACAGGCATTCTGAAGTGGTGTCGGACAATTGTTCATCATTGTAAATGCTTGCCATTAAGACTTAGTATTAATGTGATGTTTTACCATTCAGAATGTCCTGCTTTTTTCTTGATAATTCTCCATCCTGATGGTTCTATATCTAGGAAATTGGGCCCTGTAAACAACCAGAAAGCCAGGCTTTGGGGGAATGAAGGACTGAGTACCCTGTTCTTGGCCATCTTCTTCTCAGGTCGCTTTGGGGAGATTTTCTTTCCTGACGTGCCCATTCACAGTCTGTTTAAAGATAAGTCAGGTTATCTAGATGTGTTATCAGACATTTGCAAGTCGTTGGGTAAACCATTAAGATATTTTGGAATTTCATCTTTCTCATATAAAACACTTGAAAATTTTAGGCAAAATTGCAAAATCATCTTCCATATTTCCTTGTTTTCTGTCTCTCACAGCAACCCAATATATCTCTCCCATGACTTTCATTTGGAGCTTAAATCCCAAGTAACTGGGCCGGGCGTGGTGGCTCACGCCTGTAATCCCAGCACTTTGGGAGGCTCAGGCGGGCGGATCATGAGGTCAGGAGATCGAGACCATCCTGGCTAACACAGTGAAACCCCGTCTCTACTAAAAATACAAAAAAAATTAGCCGGGCGTGGTGGCGGGCGCCTGTAGTCCCAGCTACTCGGGAGGCTGAGGCAGGAGAATGGCGTGAACCCGGGAAGCGGAGCTTGCAGTGAGCCGAAATCGCGCCACTGCACTCCAGTCTGGGCGACAGAGCGAGACTCCGTCTCAAAAAAAAAAAAAAAAAAATTCCATGTAACCATTAACAAAGGTGCTATGCGATCGTTTCTAGAGATATTTTCATTATTTGTGTGAATGGTGGATTAAAGTCTTTCTCATCCATTAGGCTTATAAACTAACTAGGGTCAGGAGTCAGATTTTGTTCACCACCACCCAGCCCAGTTCCTGGAAGGGAACAGGAACTCAATAAATATGTGTTACAATAATTTATTTTCAGCAAGCCCTTTCAAAATCAAACCTTAAAGACAAAAGGGGAAAAAATGTTTGTTGATGATGTTTGAAACATTGCGACAGCAAGCCAGAGGTAGATTTTTGAAAATGGAGGTCTGTTCCACTTCCGTTAAACATACTGGAAGCTCTTTATTTTGCTTGAATATAAAGTTCCATTCAGTTCCTGTTACCACAACCAGATGTATCCACCTAAAGCTGGGGTCTGACCATGTACTTTTCCAGCTCCAAAAACCCTAGTGGCTTCTGCTAAATGTTGTGGGGACCTTTCAGCCTAGTAACCCTGCTACTTCCCTTTCTTCTCACACTTTTGACACAGATGGCCTTACTGCTGCTACCAAATATGCTTCCTGTTTTTCTGTTTCTACTTCATAGCTTAGGCTGTACCTCTGCTGGAAAGACTTGATACATCCTCTGCCTGTAGGACTGCTACCCATCCTCTGAAACACCCATCTCAAAAATCTCTTCTTCCAGGAAGATTTTCCTGATTTGACCAACTGGATATGATTGCTTTCTTTAAAACTTGTATTTCTATCTTTCCCCTTTTTTATGGCATTTGCAATACTTTGCCTTGTAAATATTTGTAATATTTATCTCCTCCTCCCAAACCCAAAGAATGAGGGTCCCCTGAGGTCAGGACTGTGTGTGTGTGTGTGTGAGATCTTTATGCTGCCATGTTTCCCATCTAGTGTGTTTCGTGGGTAGTATATTTTTCAAATGAAAATATCTATTGCTATTTGTCAAATGGAAATATCTACTGATATTTTTCTGAATAAAAGAGAAGTGAATTGAATCAGAACAGACAAACCCATGTGCTGAAGGAATGGAAACAGCTTATTTTCCTCCCTCTGATAGAAGATTTAGGGTTTCATCTCATGATGATTCATCAGTTTTGTAAAAATAAAATAAAGACTTCTAATCATTTCCCCGAAATACAGTCTGTTTCTTTTATAACAATAGTGTATTGGTCCATTTTCACGCTTCTGAGAAAGACAATACCTGAGACTGGGTAATTTATAAAGAAAAAGAGGTTTAATGGACTCACAGTTCCATGTGGCTGGGGAGGCCCCACAATCATGGTAAAAGGTGAAAGGCATGTCTTACATGGTGGCAGGCAAGACAGAATGAGAGCCAAGTGAAAGGGGAAACCCCTTATAAAATTATCAGATCTCATGAGACTTATTCACTTCCATGAGAACAGTATGAGGGAAACCACCCCCATGATTCACTTATCTCCCACTGGGTCCCTCCCACAACATGTGGGAATTATGGGAGCTACAATTCAAGATGAGATTTGGGTGGGGACACAGCCAAACTATATCAAATAGATTTTGACTGAAATATGATTAGCAGAATTTAAAGTTTGAAATACTGGCCTCTCAGAGAACATCTCAAATTTCAATCAAGACAATTCCGATTTTATTGAATTTTGCAAATGCTGGGTTTTACTTTTACTATAACATTACTGAATGATCCTAGGTTAGACAACAAAATGTCATGGTCTCTTGATTTCCAGGTGTATGAAATATTGATCTAGAATATATCTAGACCCTACACTTACATATGACAGTGGCAGGAAAACTCGATTATGTAGTATCATTTTGATTGAATATTAATATACTGGATTGAGTAGCTTTTGAATGTTTGAGATAATTCTTTCATTTTTCTCAGGTAAGCATATTATTTGGCTTTTTAAAAATAAAATTAGTTTGGCCATCTTTATGTCTGAACTTAATCTATTATAAAGTACATGGAGTCAGTTTTCCCAGTTTTTCCTCTGGCCTCCTGCCTTTTGGCTAGTTTACCCCTGATTCCTGGATTCCTTGGTAGTGCTTAAGGAAAAATAAAAGAAATAAAATTCAAATAAGTCAATTTGCAGCTTGTGAACAGCTCTAGTAAAAGTTTAACAGAGAACAAATTATTGACCACAGTCTGTTCTCATAAGTATCTGTAGATTTCAATTGTCTATTATTTCTATTGTCAGTTATTTCAAGGAGACAAATATTCAATTGCCCTAGGATAGAAATTTAGATTTAGCAGTATTTTGCTTTCATGGTACAGTGGAAAATTGAATGTTGTAAGCACTATGTGGGAATTGTTATGTATGTTGGTGCCTTAAAGTGTCCATTATGAATTTAAATCATATATAAAAAGCATTTTTTCTGAATTAATGATATCCACCTTTTCTTCTATTTTAGGCAGCTCATGGCAGAAGGGGACATACAGGCCCACAGGTACAATGATTTTTCCCCTTAACTCCAAATAACAAATACTGCATCCAATCAGGGAGCTGGAATAAAGTCTCTGTAAAGTCTCTAAACTTCCCTTTTTGATGATATTGGTTATGGAATAGAAAGCTGAAAAAATTTTAGGTTAAGATTTTAAGAGTTCATATTTTAAAATGATGTGGGAACTTTGGTCAAAAACCATAAAAAATAATGGCCAGAGATGTACTTAGCACAATTATTGTTAAATTTAACTTTGCTTGGATTTTAAGTACAAACTTGAATAACTTAGTAGATGACCCTTCTTTTACATTTTCATTTAACTTTGGAATCTTACAATTATAAAAAACCCCATATAAGCCAAAAGAATACAATAAAACTCTTGTACAAATTGGATATTCTGAGTATTTTGTTCAAAAAGTTGGTTAAATCAAAAACCATATCCCATTCTCATTGTGTATGTTGGTGATACATTATATGTGTTTCATGAACCTATAATATTTATGAAAGAGTGGTTGTGACTTATAATTTTATAAAACACACATCCTCAGATTAAAAATACAATGAGGATAAATAATCCACTCTCAATGGCAACATGGTGAGACTCCAGAATGTTAAAGATAAAAAGCATCTTAAAAATTACCACAGAGAAAAGATAGCTTTACTCATGAAAAGAATGAAAAATTAGATTGCAGCAACTTCTGTTCAGCAGTAATACATGCCAGAAAATAACAGAGTAATAACCTGAAGGTACAGTGGAAAAATAATCGTTAACTTAGAATTTTATACCTAGCTAAACTATGTGTAATGTAAAATAGACACTTGTAGACAAAGAGACCTTACCATCCAGACATTATCCCTCCCTCCCACATACTTTTTATTTATCTGTTTCTGCTTCTGTAACAAAATACCTTAAACTGGTAATTTATAAACAACAGAATTTTATTTCTTATAGTTCTAGAGGCTGGGAAGTCCAAGATCAAGACATGAGCAGATTCAGTGTCTAGTGAGGGCTTGCTGTTCACTCTAGAAATGGTGCCTTCTTGCTGCATCCACACATGGCAGAAGGGGCTGACAGCTACCTTGAACCTCTTTATAAAGGCACTAATCTCATTCAAGAGGATGGAGTCCTCATGACCTAATCACCTCCTAAAGGCCCCACCTGTTAATACTATTGCATGGAGGATTAAGTTTCAACATACGTGTTTTGAAGAAATGCATGCATTCAGACTACAGCACATTTCAAGTTTAGACTTCAGCAAAAAGGAGAACCTACCTAGTAAAATGGCATGATATAAATGAAATGAAATTGGAGAGAGAAGATGTTAAAAAATTTTTTTCTGATTTCTAGGAAAAGGTATCTGTAAGTGACATTTAATCACATCCAACTATATAACAACTGAAATATAAACTTAGGCTCTCCTAATAGTTGCCTAAATTATAAACTTCTTGAATTCGTTATGCTTTTTATAATTCTTGTCTGTGACAGAATTCAAGAACAATATGAAGAGAATGCTCAACTTTTGTTCCCTAGATATTTAATTGATTTGAATATAAATATTAATATAATCGTGTAAGATGCTTGAAGATGTTTGAAGAAAATGTGAACTAAATTTTGAGTGTTTTTAAGGCCACATAGCTAAGTTAGATATAATACAAATTTTATAAGAAAGGGGTGGGGGCTGCATGTGTGCATGCATGCATATATATAAAGATGGAAAGGAAATACACCAGCATACTAGCTATGGTTATCTCTGATGAGATTATAGATTTTTATTTTCTTTGTATTTGCATTTATTTTTCACCTTTTTTTTTTTTTTTTTTTTTTTTTTTGCAAAGATCCTGCATTGACATTGTGACTGAAAAAATATTTGTAAGCTTGCAGGTAAAGGAGACAAAATGTTCAGGAAACAGTGTTAACAGATTGATTCTTTCTCGCCACAGGGAACAGCAGGCATCCCAGGACCAGATGGACTTGAAGGCTCCCTGGGACTTAAGGGCCCTCAGGTACATATCAAGACCAATCAGGGTGTGAGAACATAAAGAAGAATCTGGGAATGGAAAAATCTGAGGACCTGATAGAAACCTTCAAATCTCCCTTGCAGAATTCCATGTTTAAAGTTCTCATGGTAATAAAGTAAGGAAGCAACACAGTTTGGACTCATGCAGCACTTGGTCTGCTTTAAGTTTTGTCCCAGTCAAGAAGTGAAAAGTGAATGAGCAAACTAGGCAGTGGTCCTTGTGTACTGGGTTCAGGGTAAGTAAGATATTCCAGGGAGAGCTTGAGCCAAGGAAAATGTTGAACCTCAGATCTGGGAATTGTGGTCAATTTAGCACAGTAATAGTTCAGTGTTACATATCTTGGTGCTCATGATGTAGAAAAATTGGCTTTACTCTTAGGAAAGAATTGCTCGAAAGACAGCTGGAGACATCAGTGGGGTTATCTGCAGTGCAGCACTCAGCCTGCCCTTGCCAGCTGACTTCTCCAGGGAGCTACCTCCGGCACTTTTTCCTTTGCAAGGAACAAGCCATACTTGGCTGTTTACACTGATCACATGAGGGGTTGCATGAGGGGTCACATGAGGGGCCAGAGAGGGCAAAATTTAGCTAACATATTATGATAAAGGAAAGGAAATCCTAGCAAATACTGAGTTGAAAGAAAGGTCAGACCACAAAAAAGTTAGAACTTTTTTTTTTCCTCTCCAAAGTTAGTTTTGAAAGCTTGAGGAATAAGTGTTCTATTTGGCATAGGCAGGACAATCAACGGCTCTGCTATTTTTCAAACTTTTAATCCACATAGTTAAAAAAAGTAACTATTATATGTTGGCAGCTTTTTGCCTGGAAGTTGGGCAACATATCCTTAAACATCAGAAGGGAAAGTTTGTCCACATTTTGCCAAGATTCAGAGCAGTGCACAGTCTTCCCCTTGGACCTTTATCTCTTCCTAGCTTGATTACTTTTCTTTGTTGTTGCTTTCCAGCTGAGGAAAGCTCACTTTTTTTTTTTTTTTTTTTTTTTAACCTTCAAGCGAGAAATAGTTGCCACTGGGGTTGTGGGGAAGCATTTCAATAGATTGACTGCTTTATTTCATGCTAAGCAAGTAATACTATGGCATCCCTTCTTCCATTTTATAGAAACTTACTTTTTTTAATGGTGTAATTTAAAAGCAGAGGCAAAAACCAAACACAGCATGAAAGTTTCTCTGCATAACATATGAAAGCCACAGCTAATAGGCAGTATAATATTCCAAAAGTAGAAATAGTCAGATTTCATCTTACCACATACCATATCTTGTTTATGACCAGTCTTCAGTGTGGTTATTGAATAGAAAACTTATTTAAATGTTCTGGTTTCAGATGTATATTTGTAAGGAATATTTTTCTTTCTAACAAGAGAAATGTAGGGAAATGTAGAAAGCAATATGGAAAAGCTCAACCATTCAGTATTTTTTTCCAAGCCCCAGTCAGTTTGACTGCAGATCCTCAACTGCCTAAATTTCAGATTGGACATTCATATTCCTGCACAAATGAGAATGAGCTCCACAGGCCAGGATGGAAGGAAAGGCATGATTGGAGCTCTCTTTCCCATTTCTGTCCATGTTACTGACTTAGTATTTCTACTTGTAATATTCAATTTAATATTCAATGTTCTCTTTTAGGCAAAAAATAATGCTTTAATTCTATGTACTTAGGGCCCAAGAGGAGAGGCTGGTGTGAAAGGAGAAAAAGGAGGTGTGGGAAGTAAAGGTCCCCAGGTATGTAATGAGAAAAATGATTGCATCTGACTTTGATCTTGGCTTGATATGTCTTTGTGGTTTCTTCCATACAGGTGGAGTTATTTACTGCTTGTGAACCAGGAACGTGTATTAGGTTTCACTTCAGCTCAATGTGGTGGCCACATCACATCATGGTCCCCATCTTGCAGAGCAGGCTATCACTATCAGACACAGAGGTAGAAAATCTAGCCCTCTTTGCCTCAGCTGCTCAGCTATGTAAATCAGGTCGCATCACTCCCCTGATCTCAATTCTCTTGGGGTTTCCCATCCCCATCCCACCCCCAGAATACAGCCTACTTTAGTAGTCCTCAAACTGGCTAAATATGATAATCTCCTGGGGGAATTCTAAAACATTCCACCACCTAGAACCTTCCCCAGGACACTTAAATCAGAATCTCTGGCAATGAGGCCAGGGTAGCAGTAATTTAACTTCTCCCTAGGAGATCTTAATATAGACCTAGGGTTGGGAATGACTGCTCTGCATTAGCACTCCTCCAGATTCACAGTGCAGAAGAATCCCCTAGAGGGGATTGTTAACTAGAGAACTTGTTAAAGTGCGGATTCTGAGTCAGCAGGTCAAGGGCAAGGCCTGAGATTCTGCACTTCTAGGGCATTCCCAGATGATGCTGATGCTGCTGATCCAGACCACATTTTTAATAGAACGGCCCTACATGATCTGGCCCTCACCTACCTGCTATCATAGTACGTATTATTTGTTTAGCTGTTTGCCTGTCTCTCCTCCTAGATTGCAAGCTCCATAAAAGATAGGACTTTGTCTTATTACACTCTATCCCTAGAGTCCAGAATATCAGTACCTGGCACATAGTAGAGCTCAACACATATTTGAATAATGAATCAAACAGTAAATGAGTGAATGAGACACAGTTGGAAATTGTGTTCTCCACTAACACTAGGGTAAAAGGATTCCATTACGTGTGTACGTTAGTTGAACCAGGCAGTCCAATATGTAAGTGGTTGTGTTTATCACCAGAAAGTTTAAGAAAATTTAAGAGGCTATTTGCATAAACTTGTATCTCATGACACTATTTTTTAATTATAATTTGTATTTTAGGTCTAGGTGTACACGTGCAGGTTGGTTATGCAGGCAAACTGCATGTCATGGGGGTTTGGCATACATATTATTTTGCCACCCAGATAATAAGCATAGTACTAAATAAGTATTTTTTTCCGATCCTTTCCCATCCTTTACTTTCAAGTAGGCCTCAGTGCCTGTTGTTCCCCTCTTTGTGTCCATGTGTTCTTGTTGTTTGGCTCCCACTTATAAGTGAGAACATGTGGTATTTGTTTTTCTGTTCCTGTGGTAGTTTGCTTAGGATAAAGGCCTCCAGCTTCATCTATGTTGCTGCAAAGGACATGATCTTGTTCTTTTTTATGGCTGTATAGTATTCCATGGTATATATTTACTACATTTTCTTTGTCCATTCTAATGTTGTTGGGCATTTAGGTTGATTCCATGTCTTTGCTATTGTGAGTAGTGCTGCAATGAATGTACACATGCATGTGTCTTTATGGTAGGATGATTTATATTCTTTTGGGTAAATAATAATGGGATTGCTGGGTTGAATGGTGATTCTGTTTCCAGTTCTTTGAGGTATCACCACACTGCTTTCCACAATGGCTGAACTAATGTACAGTCCCACCAGGAGTGTGCAAATGTTCTCTTTTCTCTACAACCTCACTAGCATCTGTTATTTTTTGACTTTTAATAATAGCCATTCTGACTGTATCTCACTGTGGTTTTGATTTTAATTTCTCTAATCAGTGATTTTGAGCAGTTTTAAATAATACAAAACTGCGTTTAACACTACAAAAAATATAAGTGTTTGTTGTGCTTCTCTCCCTGGGTTTCATGGGAGGACTGCAGGGCTCCTCTGACCTGTAGCGCAACACAGGGTTGACAGCCTGGGCGTAGGGGATGCCGCTGGATTAAAAAATGAGAATGAGGCCCCTCTGGTGAGGTCTATGTACATGAGGGTGAGAGGTGGGTTACAAGCATGGGGGCATCAGAAAGGGGAGGGTTGTATGGAGTGGGATTGAGCATATTTTCTTATGCCTGCTGGCCATGTATATATCTTCTTTTGAAAATTGTTCATATCCTTTGCACACATTTTAATGTGGTTGTTTTTGGCTTGTAAGTTTGCTTAAGTTCCTTAAGATTCTAGATATCAGACATTTGTTGGATATATAGTTTGCAAATATTTTCTCCCATTCTGTATGTTGTCTGTTTACTCTGTTGATAATTTCTTTTGCTGTGCAGAAGCTCTTTAGCTTAATTGGGTCTGTCAATGTTTGTGTTGCAATCGCCTTTGTCATCTTTCTCATGAAATCCTTGCCAAGTCCTATGTCCAGAATGGTGTTTCCTAGGTTATCCTCCAGGGTTTTTATGCTTCTAGATTTTACATTTAAGTCTTTAATCCATCTTGAGTTGATTTTTGTATATGGTATAAGGAAGGGGCCCAGTTTCAATCTTCTGCATATGGCTAGCCAGTTCTCCCAGTACCATTTATTGAATAGGGAGTCTTTTCCTCATTGCTTGTTTTTGTTGGCTTTGTCAAAGATCAGATAGTTGTAGGTGTGTGGCTCTATTTCTGGGCTCTCTATTCTGTTCCATTGGTCTAGAGTCTGTTTTTATGCCAGTACCATGCTGTTTTGGTTACTATGGCCTTGTAATATAGTTTGAAGTCACATAAGGTGATGCCTTCAGCTTTGTTCTTTTTGCTTAGGATTGTCTTAGCTATTCATATTCTTCTTTGGTTCTGTATAATTTTAAAATAGTTTTTTTCTATTTCTGTGAAGAATGTCATTGGTAGTTTGATGGAAATAGCATTCAATCTGTAAACTGCTTTGGGCAGCATGGCCATTTTAACAACATTGATTCTTCCTGTCCATGAGCATGGAATGTTTTCCTATTTGTGTCATCTCTGCTTTCTTTGAGCAGTGTTTTGTAATTCTCATTTTAGAGATTGTTCACCTTCCTGGTTAGCTGTATTCCTAGATATTTTTATTTTTACATTTTTGTGGCAATTGTGAATGGGATTGCATTCCTGATTTGGCTCTCGGCTTGTATGTTGTTGGTGTATAGGAATGCTACTGATTTTTGTATTTCAATTTTGTATCCTAGAACTTTGCTAAAGTTGTTTATCAGATCAAGGAGCTTTTGGGCAGAGACTACTGGGTTTTTTAGATATAAAATCTTGTCATTTGCAAACAGGGATAGTTTGACTTCCTTTCTTCATATTTGGATGCCTTATATTTCCTTCTCTTGCCTGGTTGCTCTAGCCAGGACTTCCAGTACTATGTTGAATGGGATTGGTGATAGAGGGCATCCCTGTATTCTGGTTTTCAAGGGGAAGGCTTCCAGCTTTTGCCTATTCAGTATGATATTAGCTGTGAGTCATAGATAGCTGTTATTATTTTGATGTACATTCCCTCAATCCCTGGTTTGTTGAGGGTTTTTAACATGAAGGTATATTGAATTGTATCAAAAGCCTTTTCTCCATTTATTGAGATAATCATGTAGTTTTTGTTTTTAGTTCTATTTACATGACGAATCACATTTATTGATTTGTATATGTTGAACCAACCTTGCATCCCAGAGATAAGGCCTACTTGATTGTGGTGAATTAGCTTTTTGATGTGCTACTGGATTCGCTTTGCTAGTATTTTGTTGATGATTTTTACATTTATGTTCAACAAGAATATCAGCCTGAAGTTTTCTTTTTTCGTTGTGTCTCTGCCAGGTTTTGGTATCAGGATGATGCTGGCCTCGTAGAATGAGTTAGGGAGAAGTCCCTCTACCTCACCTTTTAGGAATAGTTTCAGTAGGAATGATATCAGCTCTTCTTTATACATCTGATAGAATTTGGCTTTGAATCTTTCTGGTCCTGGCTGTTTTTTGGTTGGTAGGCTTTTTATTATTGAGTCAACGTTGGAGCTTGTTATTGGTCTGTTCAGGGATTCAATTTCTTTGTGGTTCATTCTTGGGAGGTTGTTTGTGTCCAGGAATTTATCTATTACTTCTGGATCTTCTAGTTTGTGTGCATAGAGGTGTTCATAGTAATCTCTGAGAGGTCTTTTTGTATTTCTGTGGGGTCAGTGGTAATGCCCCCTTTTTCATTTCTCATTGTGTTTATTTGGATCTTCTCTCCTTTTTTTGTATTGGTCTAGCTGACTAGTCTATCTTATTTTGGCAAAGAACAAATTCCTTGATTTGTTGATCTTCTGTATGATTTTCTGTATCTCAGTTTCCTTCAGTTCAGCTCTGATTTTGGTTATTTCTTGTCTTCTGCTAGCTTTGGGGTTGGTTTTCTCTTGCATTTATTGCTATAAACTTCCCTCTTAACACTGCCTTATCTGCGTCCCAGAGATTCTGGTATGTTGTATCTTTGTTCTTATTAGTTTCAAAGAATTTCTTGATGTCTGCCTTAATTTCATTATTTACCCAAAAGTCATTCAGGAGCAGGTTGTTTAACTTCCATGTAATTATATGGTTTTGGGTGATTTTCTTAGCACTAGTTTTTATTTTTATTTCAGTGTGGTCCAAGACTGTGGTTGATATGATTTTGTTTTTTTTCTAATTTGCTGAGGATTGTTTTATTTCTGATTGTGTGGTCAATTTTATGGTATATGCCATGTGGCGATGAGAAGAATGAATATTCTGTTGTTTTGAGATGGAGAGTTCTCTATATGTCTATTAAATCAAGTGTTCAAGTACAGGTTCTGAGTATCTTTGTTAATTTCCTGCCTGCATGATCTGCCTAATACTGTCATGATACTGTTTTAAAGCATGTTAATTATTGCTTGTGAAGATATTTGTTTTTAATTTTGATGAAGGTGCTTCTTCAAAAAGCATAAAAACTTTAAAATGTCATGGTAGAAATAACTTGATGAAAATAACTATTTCGCATTCATATCCTTGAATCAATAAAAGCTTGCTGGTACCATAAATTGAAATTTGTTAAAGATGGAAATGCCAAGAAAAACATATATCATGTGATTATCTCATCTGTTTATATAAAATATGGAGATGTGAGTGGGTGGAAATCCAAAATCTTGGTATTTCTCTTGGTCTAGAATCCAAAATTGCATCCACTGGCTGTGCAGAGCACGTCTGTGAATGAGTACCCTTTAATCTTGCTTTGGCAAGATTGGTCATGGCCATAAATCTTTCAGCCTCTTGGCATTGTCAGAGTTAGTCAGAAGGTACCACTTCTCTCTAGTCTACGTCTACCATTTTTCTGACTGGAAAACATGGTTTTTCTTTCTGTGCTTGGTTTTCTTGAAATACCTTTGTCAGTACAGTGAAAATGCTATTTCAAAGATGTGTACAATTTTTTATGTTTAGGACATGGATGAATGGGGTCACAAAGTTGTTGTGTCCAAAAGAAAGCCACAGAGATGAACACAATCAGATACACAAGAGAGTATTATTCTTCACCGGTTCTATAAATTCCCTGCCATAGGTTTCATATTGTTTTACAGCACACAAGGACCAGCCACTGGAATAGAATAACATGAGTGCTTTGTAATTTCAGGATTTGAAGTTTTTCTTAGGATATACGTTTAAGAAAAGATGTGATTTCTGTTGACAATGTTCTGAAGGCTTATTTAACTGGCATTCTGTATAAATCAAATGTGTGCTAATCCAGCCAAGTATATGACTATGATACAAAAGAATACAGTCCATGGCACAATGAAAAGGAAGAAAGAGCTTTGAAAGGAATGGCATATTCTTTTCTACCTTCCTTCATTCCCCCTTTGGTTTACCTTAAGGTCCTATTTTAATTTAATCAATGCCTGAAAAAAAAAAAAAAAAAAGGATGGAAAATCAGACACAAAAATACAAATTTCAATTGAAGCTGTAATTATTTTTTAAATACTTATGCTTTCTTAGTGAATGAATCACTAGTGGCTTGTACAATATCAAGAAAGTTCGGAGATGTTCAATGCAGTTTGGAGTCCGGAGTAGAATTTCTGTTTTTGTCTTTACAAAGCATAGCACAGTGGTAAATGGTATACGGTCTGGAGCCAGACTGCCTAGCATTGATTCCTAACTTTGTACCTTACTAGCTCTGTGACCTTGGGGAATTTATGTAACCACCTTGTGCTTCAGTTTTTTACTGTAATTATAAGGATGGTAATAGTAGCTACCTCATTGGATTGTTGTGAAAATTAAACCATTTAATGTATGTAGGTGCTTAGAACATTGCCTGCAGTCACAAGCTCTATGTGTTTGTTATTGCTACTATATTGTATCAGTATTACCTAATTTAATGGGAGTATTTTGTGCTCAAAGAATGCAGGTCACCATTCCAAGAAAGGCCATGATAGTAATATAACAATACGTAACCTGTAGTAATCAACAAGTTTCATCATTCTGTATAAGCTAAGTTTGGTGGTCCATTAGCCATTCCTTTTACTCATTTAACAAACATTTACTAAGTGCTGCTTGTGTGTTGGGCCCTATTCTAGGATACAAGGATGAATGAGGTATAGACTCTAGCCTCACGTATACCCAATCTCATAAAGGAGACTCATACAAACAAACAATTGACATGTGACCTGCTGAATGTTAAAAGAGAATTATACTCAATGTAGAGTGATGTGGTAAAGAATGGAGTTAAATGAGATGAGCGTATTTGGTTTTGCTGAATGAGCAGGTGTTTTCCGGGTAACCAAGGAAAGGCAGGCATGCAGAAAGAGGATGGAACCAAGTTACACAGAGATATCAAGGTGAGTTTTGGGAACCACAAATGGCTCAATATGGTTGGAGTGTAGAATGCATGGAGAAGTATTAGAAGTTAAGGTTAAGGACTAGTACTGTCAAGATTGACATCTCAGATGTTTTGGGGTTTGTTCTTGCATTAGCTCACCATTTGATGGCCTCTTGATTTTTGTTTTCTTAGACTTAGCTGATATCTAACTTTTAAAGAAGCTCAGCACTTGATCTCCTTGTTTCTTTCCACCTTGATATTTGTTCATTGTGAGTTTTCATACATTACCCCCACACAAATAAAAACAAGTGACAAGGATTCCTTTTAAGTGTGGGAACACCCTGTACCTCTTCTACCCTGCCTTATCTAATCCAAAGTCAAGGTGTCCTTGGCAATGCCCCAACCATTAAACCTAAACTCCCAAGTGCAATCTCTTCTGATAAGGTGCTAAGCACAATTTTCAAATAATCGTTAACCTCTAAACACTTCTTTCCTATCCTTGCTTAACACTAAAGCAGTTGTGGTTGCCAAGGGCTCTGTAACTAATACTCAACCTGAGGAAAAAAAGTGGGACAATCAAGTCCCACTTTTGGAGGTTTGATGTGGCCCCAGCCTTATGCATCAAGTTTGGAGAGCCACATTTTTTTTAGAACTCCAATCTGGGCTAATGCATAGATGGTAAGAGTTTGGGAATCCTGTCCCACACAAGGGCCTCAGAGCAGCAGGCATAGTGGCTGGGACTTTAGTCTTTAGAGTCAGATACAATTAGGTTCATTTCCCATCTAATCCTCTTATTAACTGAGCAATTTGGATGTAAATGCCTTGAGAAACTGTTTTTGATCAGTAAATGGGGTTAATAACAGGCATCTCACTGTGTTGTAAAAATAGAAGACTATTTACCACTCAGCACAGTGCCTTGCACAAAATATGAATGCTCAATAAAAGGCAGCCATTACATCAAAGCCAAAGAAGATTTGATCTCTAGCTAATGCCCTTCCCCTTTAAATGCCCTAAGCTTCTCTTAACCCTCCATAGCTATTCTTGATCTCAAGTCAACTAAGCTCTTTCATTCTTTGATATCTTTCTGAGGGTGACAATTTTTTTGTCTTTCTTTTAGAAACCACCAGTGTGATTCCTTATCTAACCAGCAGTGTTTGAGTAGGTGATTTATCTGGGTAACCATTCACTGAGGCTTGAGCCTTATTCATCTAAGTCACAAACCTCACTTTGGTACTTTGCAAGATCCTGCATGGGAAACACAATCAGGTTTTCTGATTCTCTAATGGCAAGGTCCTGTATGTATCCAACCATCTACTCATCCAAGACATTTTTTATTTTGAAAGTTCTTAAAACAGGATAATCTCTCATTGTTCTTGTGTGTGTTTGAGGTAACTACACATGAAATAATCTCCCAAAATCATCCTCTGTCTCAGAATTTATGTCTGAATGAAGAATGGAGAGTAGGCTTCTAGACAGATCTTCCAATTTATACATTGCTTTTCAGGACAATTAGAATCTCTCTACTTCTCTGTGCAGTGCATGAAAATTTCATATGGAAAACCAACAAATTAAACACAGTAGTTCATCCCTCTTGAGAATCTTTCCTGGGTAGATAAATGGATGGGTTGATGGGTTCTAGGTATCCTATGATGCGCCAGAGATATGAATTAATAGGACGTGCCCGTTAAAGAAGTATACAGTCTAGTCTCTAAGGAATGAGAAAGAGAAATACACTAACAATTACTTACAGCGTAGAGGAATCGGGGGGACAAGCATGAGACCCAACACAGCTAGGAAGTTTGAGTATTCTTCCTGAAACAGTGATGCTAAAGGTAGGATTTTTCAGAGGAGGGAGATTGTACCTCTCCCTAGAGGGAAAAAAATGGACCAGCTGAGGGAAAAATTTGCATGAGTGTGGAGACGTAAGACAAACATTTGATGAATCACTTGCTTTGATGTGCCTGAACATAAAGCGATGGAAGTAGTCACAGAAAATGAGGCTGCAGAGGCATGCAATTCCAACATTTTGAGGGATTTTGCATATTAAGAAGACCTTAAACTTTATTCTGAAAGATATTCAGAATTTCAGACAAAGTGGTAACATCAGCCTGACATTTTAAATCTCTCTCTAAAAAGGGTGGAGAATGGATTAGAGGAAGACCTGGCTACAGTTAGGAGAGCCAAGAATTTAGGCAGGATGCAAGATGGGCCTGAAGGCAAGTAATGGGAATGGAAGAGGGAGGGGTACAGAAAGTAGACAGATTCTACTGTGGGCCTTGTAGCTGAGGGGTTTTGAGAAGTGAGGTAGTGGAAGGGTCTAGGATAATTCTCAGGTTTCTGGCATGGGTCTCAATGGTAGTAAAGGGTGATACTATTCCTTGATGAAAAGAAAATGAGACTGGAAGCATGATTTAGGGTAAATATGATTGTTTTGAGAATCCATTTCTATTCAATAGGATGTCCAATGGGAATTTTATTTATTTTTTTAGACAGAGTCTCACTCTATCACCCAGGCTGGAGTGCAGTGACACAATTATAGCTAATTGCAGCCTTGAACTTCTGGGCTCAAGTGATCCTCCTGCCTCAGCCTTCCAAGTAGTTGGCACTACAGGTGTGTGCTGCTGTGCCTGGTTAAGTCTTGAGTTTTGTTTTGTTTTTTTTTGGCATAGAGGCTTGCTGTGTTACTCAGCCTTTTAATATATGGCTCTGGTGTTCAGTTGAGTGGTTGGGACTTGAGAGCATGTATTTAGGAGTCATTGTGTAGAAGTGATATGTGAATTCATACGGGTGCCATTCAGGAAGAGGGGATAAAGTGAGAACAATAAGGCCAGAGGATGGAGCCCTGGGGCACACAGAATTTAAGAGGCAAATAGAATAAGGGGAGCCTTCAAAGGTTCATGAGAGGAGCCTAGAGAGGGACCAGGAAGACCATGGTTACTTGGTGTGACAGAAGTTAAGGGAAAAGTTTCAAAGAACACATGATCAAACTCAAAAAAGGTGAGGGCAAAAAAGTGTCAACTGGACTGAACATGAAAGTCAAAGGAGTTAGCTCCATGTAGTGGTGGAAGTGAAAGTTAGAAGGGAATGGGTTGAGAGCTATCTATGGAGGGTGACAATATTGAGAATTTTCTTTAAAGATGAAGGAAGGGGGAGAGATAGGGTATTATGGAAAGATTCTTATCTTTGTTAGTAACCAATTTATTGTTCAACAATCCTTCCTATTAGGAAATTTTTTATGTCCAATGTATTGCTTTTTAAATTTTTTAAAAGATGAAAATGTTAATGTTACAATATTTTTGTTCTGAACGAAATAAATTTGCAAGTGTCATGCTCATTACGCAAAGGCTGGTTTATTTACTTTTAAATTACAACAACCATGACGAAAAAATTGTGCAAATGATTTCAGCTCACTGGGGTTGGGATTATTTACAAATACCTGTAAACAGTTGTACCAAAAGAGATTTCTCTTTCCATATGTTTAGATATCCCAAAGGAAAAATCTGATTCCAAGTGTTAATAACAGAGGAAGGTAGTTGTGTCATCTCTGAATTGGTATTTTAAAATGTTCAGTCTAAAGTTGTTCCAATGAAACATGCCTTCTAGAATGTTGGAAGGACTTACTTCCATTATATCTGATAGCTTTTCCATATAGATAGGTGTTATATTTATCATCTGTTTAAGTTTTGCTATGTTCTTCAATAAGATCTTAAGGCTTTCTTTCTTTAGGTTTTGCATCTTTCTTGATAAATTTATTCTAAGCATTTTACAGTTTTTTTCTTCTTTTGGTAAGTGGGAATTTATTTACATTTACTTTTCTAACTTATCACTAGGAAAGAGAAAATTATTTCAGAATATTTATCTTATGCTACCTAAACATATCTTATGAACACTGTTTTAGTAAAGTTTCTTAAGCTTTCTAATATACATATCATATGATTTTCCAATAAAGATCATTTTGTCTTCCAAAAAATGTTTTCTACCAAAGCCAGTCCTTTCTACCAAAGGACAAGAAGGATTATAGTTCAAGGCAAATGTCATTTGGAATGGCTTCTTTAAGTGTTAGGCATTTTAACAACATCTGTTCTTAGAGCAAAACAACCTGAAATCACTTTGGAAGAGAAAACTCACAAGGAAGCACAATTCTTTAGACAACATCTGGCATGAATTACTTTATTAATTTTCTTTTATTTACCAGTCTTTATTTGATGGTGGCAATACTTTTTTCCAGAGCAAGGATCGATACAGCCATAACTCTTCTCTCGTCTGTGGTTCACTTTCCTCTTATAAGACAGAGGGTTTGAAGAAAAGTTGCTTTATGTTTTGCTATATTTGCAAACCCCTTGTTTTGTTTCAGGGGCCTCCAGGACCCGGAGGAGAGGCAGGGAATCAAGGCCGTTTGGGAAGCCAAGGAAATAAAGTAGGTCACATTCTTTATACTCACCAAAGTTGAGGTTTTCTGCTCAAGAGAACTGTGTCTAATTGTATTAGCCAGGGCCCTTTCAACACAAACAAGAACACATTTTCTGGTCCTTAAACCCTGGCTTGATTCTTAGAGAGCCAACAACCTCTAAGGACATGGGTGTGGACCTGGATGAAATCAGGGATTCCAGCTCAGTGTAATTTAAGAGGGGAGGGATACACCCTATTGGAGCTGAGGGATCTCAGGGAACAAGGGATATTCTGGGGCAGGCCTTCCTTTCTCTCTTCCAATCTCTCTTAATTTCCTCCCCCCGCCTACCCCCCCCTTTTTTTTTTTCCTTTCCTCCATTCACACAAACTTTTGGTAAGCACCTTTTAAGACCAAGGCACTGTACTGAGCGTTCGGTTGGGCTGAAGAATCAGCTCCAGGAGAGACATCTTTGTTTTGGTCATTGATTCCATC
Organism: Homo sapiens; assembly: GCF_000001405.40. Classification (NCBI taxonomy): domain Eukaryota; kingdom Metazoa; phylum Chordata; class Mammalia; order Primates; family Hominidae; genus Homo; species Homo sapiens. The sequence goes on from NC_000003.12 coordinate 130,622,349, forward strand.
CTCCATGCTTAGAACAGTGCCTGGCATGTAATATGTGATTAGTAAATATTGAATAAATGAATCTGTGGGTGGCATAATATATATGACATGAAACCAACCCCAAAGAATATTTTCATAACAATCTATGACATAAAATAAAGATAAGGGGCTAAAATGGAGTTTTAAATGGCATTATTAGAAGTATTTCTGGGATGCAAAAAGAGGCATCATAGAAAATACAGACTTTGAGCCGGGCGTGGTGGCTCACGCCTGTAATCCTAGCACTTTGGGAGGCCGAGGTGGGCAGATCACGAGGTCAGGAGATCGAGACCATCCTGGCTAACATGGTGAAACCCCATCTCTACTAAAAATTCAAAAATTTAGCCGGGCGAGGTGGCGGGCACCTGTAGTCCCAGCTACTCAGGAGGCTGAGGCAGGAGAATGGTGTGAATCCGGGAGGCAGAGTTTGCAGTGAGCTGAGATCGCACCACCGCACTCCAGCCTGGGCGACAGAGCGAGACTCTGTCTCAAAGAAAAGAAAATACAGACTTTAAGCAGGACTTAGAAGATAAAAATTTTGGCAAGCAGAGAAGGGAATGGGGGGACTGTAATGAGAAAAAGCGGTGTGAAGGAAGGCACAAGGTTGGAAAATCCTGAGAGAAGAGGAGGTATCTAGGCATGAAAAATGATCCTGTCTGGCAGGCCAAAAACAACAAGAAAGCCTGTGGTGAATCTATTCAGTGGCCAGCACGGTGTTATCTAAAACTTTTGAATGGAGTGGATGAACACAGCCAGACTTTTGGAAGATTTTAAATAGGCAACTCAGTGTAGAAATATTATGAAGCTTAGGCTGTGCATGGTGGCTCACCCCTGTAATCCCAGCACTTTGGGAAGCCGAGCCAGGTGGATCACTTGAGGTCGGGAGTTCCAGACCAGCCTGGCCAACATGGTGAAACCCTGTCTCTACTAAAAATACAAAAATTAGCCAGGTGTGGTGGCACATGCCTGTAATCCCAGCTACTCGGGAGGCTAAGACAGAGAGAATTGCTTGAATCCAGGAGGTGGAGGTTGTAATGAGCCAAGATCCTGCCACTGCACTCCAGCCTGGGTGACAGAGTAAGACTCCATCTCAAATAAATAAATATTATGAAGTCTGAGAGAATGAAAGCTAGGAGAACAGTTGGTACACTCTTATAGTCTCCAAGGCAAATAGTGATTAGGTGACTTAACGGGGTGAGGACTTAACTTGTGATGATTCCATAGAACTCTTCCAATAGGGGACTGATGCAGAGAGGAGTGGGCTAGATGACTTGGGGGCTTCGTGTATGAGGGGTAACCCTATCACAGACATAGGAAAGTCATTAGGAAGAGTGGGTTTAAGAGGAAAGAAAATCACTTGGGGGATAGAGGAAAGGGTTTAGGTCTGGTTGGAGATGTAAATTTCAGAGTCATTTGGATTAAAAATAACTCTTGGTGATGCCTCTTTGTAAGAAGTCCAAGAGGAAACAAGACAATGAATTATTAGGAAGGAAGGAAAATCAACAAAAAAGCACACTGGATTTTGAGTAGAGTTCAAGAAGGGAGGTGAAGAGTACCAACTGGTAAAGAAAAGTTAAGGAGGGGAGGAGTGGAGAAGCCATGATATCTGGTGGCTAAGACATTCTAAAGAACAGTTTCAAAAGTGTAGCAATTGAGAGGAGAGAAAGGGAGACAGGACTGCAAAGGACCGAGAAATGTGCGAGGAGAAAATGGATAAAAAGCTGTAAACTACTCTTTGGAAAACCTAGGCCTTTAAGGGGAAGAAGAAGACATTAACTACTCATACTGGCAAGGTCTAGGAAAGGTTGATGTGGGATATTGGTTTGTTTTTAATGACAGGAGAGACCAGCATGTTTATAATCAGAGGAGAAAGCCAGGGAGAAAAGAGGAGATTGAAAATGTAAGAAAGAGTAGACAGAGTAGATGATTAACGGAGAAATTTGGCAAAGAGGATGAGCTTGAGGGCCTGAGAAAAGGGGTTAACTTTGTACTGAAGAATTGTTCAAGGCTGATATGATGGAGTCCAGCAGTTGAATGTTGCAAAGACAGTTAATTGGAGGATGTAACAAGATAATGGGGATGACAAGAAGTCAACTGCAAAAGGAAGGGACTTCTATGGCATGTAGTGTAGCAATATATGGCATGTAATCGGGAAATCAAAGTTTGGAACAAAGACAATGCTGCCTTCTTGTCCCTGAAGAAGGCTCTAGGGGAAGTGGTGTCACTGGTAAAAATCAAGTTTATCTTACCAAGGATAGACATAGATAAAGGGACCCTAGAGTTGGATAGAGGTGGCCGTGGGGAAGTAGATAAACAGGAGCAGGGCAGTTGTGCCTTAGAAGATCATTATTAATACAAAAGACTTGGTCAGGGGTCGGGGGCAGGTCAAGAATTTAGATGGCAAGTGCCCCAAAGAAAACCCAAATCCTCTGTATTGCCCCAGGGTGGACTGGGCACTCTAGACTCATGATTCACTGAGATAAACCTCAAACACTTACCCCTACCTTACTCCAGTAAGTTCACATTTCCAGGAGGCAAGCAACCTGGCAGTTAATCCTGGGCTTAACACTTGACTCTACCAATAACCAAGCATGTGGCCCTAGAAAAGCCATATGACTTTCCTTGTTTCCTTACCATAAGGCAGATGTTCTTAAATTTTAGTGTGCATATGAATCAGCTGAGAAGCTTATGTAAAAGCACATATTGTTGGGTTCCACTTACCAGAGTCTAATCCAATGGGATCCAAGAATTTTCTTGACACATGAACCCTGGATGTGGCTGTGGTCCCCACAGCACACTTTGAGAACCGCTGTCCTAAAAGGCATCAAGGCAGATGATCTCCTGCTTCCCTTATATAGAATCCTATTCTTCGTTACCCCAGAGTTCAGTGCTGGTGGTCACTTGTCCATTTTCCCTTATGTTGGTTTTCTGTCCTTAAAAAAGATGTGATGATTCCCCACCTTTTAAGTGTAGGTTGCACATACTTTCACACTTTCTTCCAAAGAGTACAGTAGAGAAGGGGAGGGAGATGGAGAGTAACTTGGCATTAGGGAAACTTGACTGCCATTATCTCAACCAGAAGATCAAGGTTAACATCAACACTGATGTCATGTTGATTGTATATACCCTTAATATGATGTGATGAGAATGGCCTTTTACCTGTGTAATGTTCCTCCCCCAAACCCATAAGCCCAGTCTAATCAGAAAAACAGCAATGGGGGACTTTCTACAGACTGCCTGGCCAATACTTCTCAAAATGGTCAAGGTTATCAAAAAGTCTGAGAAACTGTCCCAGTCTAAAGGAGCCTACGGAGACATACCATGTGGATCCTGGATGGGATCCTGGAACAGGAAAGGAATATCAGGTTAAAAAGAAAAAATCTGAATAAAGTATGGGCTTTAGTTAATAATAATAAATCAGTATTGATTCGGTTGTGACAAATGTACCCTACAAATGCAACTAGTGTAATGTAATGTTAAAAATAGGGGCAAATTGATGTGGACATACAGGAACTTTCCATATTATGTTCACAACATTTCTGTAAATTTAAAACTATTCCAAAATTAAAATTGTTACCTTTTTTTAAAAAGGAGTTAACTTTCCTCTGTAAACCTGTGTTGATTTCCCATGTAGCTGAACTTTCCTCAACATAATACTGAGATTGATTAATAACACACAGTAGATGTTCTACTAGTCAGAAGTTAGAAACTATTGCCAGGATATCATGCTCCCTTGGTTAACTTGATTCTCCCTCAGAATATTAAAACTAGATTAATCAATCTGCCATCTTTGCAGAGGCCAGATGATTTGCATGAATCATCCTGGAAACGATTTTGTTAATTTTTTTAAAACAGTATAGAGCTTTTCTCTTGACTCATTTTCATGGCATTGAGCTGCTAAGATGGCAACTTGCCCTAAACAATAAATCATGCTTGCTGAGGCTTCACTGATCAATGGAGGACACCTCCCTGGCCAACAACAGCAGTTCCTCTTGTATCACTTGCACGACACACAGTTCTGGGCACAAACCCATTGTTGTGTGTGATCCACACAGATGAGCTGAATTAGTGCCATCATTTCCAATTTCCAACCTAAAAACAATCTTTCTGTTTAACAGGGAGAACCTGGAGATCTGGGAGAAAAAGGAGCTGTTGGCTTTCCTGGTCCTCGTGGCTTGCAGGTTTGTATTTTGACACTAGTTTTGATCGGATTCTTGGAATCTTTTAGTTCAGTAGACATCTGGTGTGGTTCTCTGAAGAGAGTTTTAAGGATACAATCCTCATGAAGTTTTATAGTTTTATAGAAATTAGGAGGGATATTGTCTTCATCTTAGTTCCTTGGCCAGCTTTCCCAAGGTGGCAATTCCCCAGGTGCCAAACATCATGGCCAGAATGCTTTTGAAGCCAAATAGTAAAATGAACAAAACTTGTCTTCAGCAATCCCGTAACCCTTTTTCCAGCCTTTCCTTTTATCAGAGCCTCTTCGTCAGAAACCCATTCCATCCTTCCCCCACTGCTCAGGGTTTCTACAAGGGTCAGACAGTAGCCAATACTGGGGCATTTACTAGTTGTTTTTGTCTAGCAAACTGAAAATGGTATTAAAATAGAAGTGTTATCAGGGAGAGGTAATACTATTATCTCCTCTTATTGAAAGATTATTATATGCCTGATTTTTTGTTCATTTAATCCTCATGACAACCCATGAGTAGGTATAATTATTATTCCCAGCTTACAGATGGGAATACCTAGGGACAGTGCATTGTCTGTATCTGTTACTAACAATTGCCTTTAGTACTACTATCATAAAATGTTGGTGGCCTGCCCTAGAAGGAGGATCCTGTGTCCTGCTTTTCCTTTATCAAACCAAAAAGCTGGCAATGTTGTCCTCTTGAAGAATAAGCCTGTCTCTATCTGTAGTCTGGGATGTTGGTAATCAATTGCTCTGTTTACAGGGCAATGATGGCAGTCCAGGTTATGGTAGTGTCGGACGCAAGGGAGCAAAGGTAAGTCAAGTCTGCTGGAAGCTGGACGTTTTCCATTTATTTTTTGTTGCTGGTTTTGTTTGCCACATTTAAGAGAAAAAGGGAAGCAGGGAATAAGGCAATCTTGGACAGTTAGAAATATATTTCAGTAATTTATTTGCTGCTATCCCATGAGGAATGTGATAGAAAAGAATGTGATGGTTTAAGGTGCAGGCAACAAGTGAAACTTGAAAATAAATTTTCTGTTTTCTGCAGTGATATGCGGCCCTAGTCTGACTTGTTCCAGCCTGAACAGTGCATGTAATCTTAGCCACTCCAGGCTCAAGTTTACTCAGGGAAGCATTCCAAAATCAGTCCTCTTATTATTATGTTTGATTTAGCCAGTAATGAGAGGTTGTGCAGGAGTTTTCTAAATGTACTGGCCCAAGCAATAACTTAAAAATAAAACTGTATATCAGAAGAGTAATTTGATATTGTCACTGAATATTTAGGTGGCTGGAACTGAGGGATAAGTTTACCAAGACCAGTGATTTCTGTATACTAGCAATCACCACTAAGAAGTCAGAATGAAAAAGATCCCACCATAATTACAAAATACAAAAAACATAATATAGTTAAGGATATCATGTCTGCAAAATGTTTGAGACCTGTAACAGTGAATTGCTGAGACAGAAAAGAGAACTTCAATAAATGGAGAGGCATTCCAAGATCTTGTTGGAAAGTCTAAAATATTGAAGGATGAACATAATTCCAAGTGAAATCCCAACGGGAATAATGCAAGAGGCCATCTGGAAGAATAAAGGACCAAAAACTAGAACTATTTGAAAAATAAAACTAATGAATGAGGGATTTCCAGTGAAATGTTCATTAGAACAGAGAACAGTTAATATTCCATAATATAATCCCTTAACATCTTACAAGAAGGGAAATATTAAGTAGCCTATGGCATTGGAACATTAGCCACCCTATAAAATGAATGTATATGAAGTTTATAATTATGTAAATAAATTTTTATGTGACACTTTCAAGTAAAAATTTAGAATATACTCAGAAAAACATTTATCCCAATTGTGTTACATTGCATTTTTAAAAGCTAAAAGGAAATAACAAAATGTATATAATCTTTCTGGGCAGTAAGATTTTGGTGATTTTTCTTCTTTCTATTTTTTGATTTTATACATGTTTGAGGATTTATTATAATCAGGAAATGAGCTTTATTTTAAATTAATTATATACTTTTTTATCCAGTAGGGATTATTATATCTCTTCAATTATAGTCTTTGAACAAAGTAAGGTAAACAGAGGACCCTAAAATGAATGATCAAGTTTAGACTCTCCATAGGCTTTCCAAATTTCTCCAATGAAATCCATTTTAAGATCGTGTCGAAGATGGCCGAATAGGAACAGCTCCGGTCTACAGCTCCCTGCGTGAGCGACGCAGAAGACGGTGATTTCTGCATTTCCATCTGAGACCTGCAGCTGAGGGTCCTGTCTGTTAGAAGGAAAACTAACAACCAGAAAGGACATCTACACCGAAAACCCATCTGTACATCACCATCATCAAAGACCAAAAGTAGATAAAACCACAAAGATGGGGAAAAAACAGAACAGAAAAACTGGAAACTCTAAAACACAGAGCGCCTCTCCTCCTCCAAAGGAACGCAGTTCCTCACCAGCAACAGAACAAAGCTGGATGGAGAATGATTTTGACGAGCTGAGAGAAGAAGGCTTCAGACGATCAAATTACTCTGAGCTACGGGAGGACATTCAAACCAAAGGCAAAGAAGTTGAAAACTTTGAAAAAAATTTAGAAGAATGTATAACTAGAATAACCAATACAGAGAAGTGCTTAAAGGAGCTGATGGAGCTGAAAACCAAGGCTCGAGAACTACGTGAAGAATGCAGAAGCCTCAGGAGCCGATGCGATCAACTGGAAGAAAGGGTATCAGCAATGGAAGATGAAATGAATGAAATGAAGCGAGAAGGGAAGTTTAGAGAAAAAAGAATAAAAAGAAATGAGCAAAGCCTCCAAGAAATATGGGACTATGTGAAAAGACCAAATCTACGTCTGATTGGTGTACCTGAAAGTGATGTGGAGAATGGAACCAAGTTGGAAAACACTCTGCAGGATATTATCCAGGAGAACTTCCCCAATCTAGCAAGGCAGGCCAACGTTCAGATTCAGGAAATACAGAGAACGCCACAAAGATACTCCTCGAGAAGAGCAACTCCAAGACACATAATTGTCAGATTCACCAAAGTTGAAATGAAGGAAAAAATGTTAAGGGCAGCCAGAGAGAAAGGTCGGGTTACCCTCAAAGGAAAGCCCATCAGACTAACAGCGGATCTCTCGGCAGAAACCCTACAAGCCAGAAGAGAGTGGGGGCCAATATTCAACATTCTTAAAGAAAAGAATTTTCAACCCAGAATTTCATATCCAGCCAAACTAAGCTTCATAAGTGAAGGAGAAATAAAATACTTTATAGACAAGCAAATGTTGAGAGATTTTGTCACCACCACGCCTGCCCTAAAAGAGCTCCTGAAGGAAGCACTAAACATGGAAAGGAACAACCGGTACCAGCCGCTGCAAAATCATGCCAAAATGTAAAGACCATCGAGACTAGGAAGAAACTGCATCAACTAATGAGCAAAATCACCAGCTAACATCATAATGACAGGATCAAATTCACACATAACAATATTAACTTTAAATATAAATGGACTAAATTCTGCAATTAAAAGACACAGACTGGCAAGTTGGATAAAGAGTCAAGACCCATCAGTGTGCTGTATTCAGGAAACCCATCTCACGTGCAGAGACACACATAGGCTCAAAATAAAAGGATGGAGGAAGATCTACCAAGCCAATGGAAAACAAAAAAAGGCAGGGGTTGCAATCCTAGTCTCTGATAAAACAGACTTTAAACCAACAAAGATCAAAAGAGACAAAGAAGGCCATTACATAATGGTAAAGGGATCAATTCAACAAGAGGAGCTAACTATCCTAAATATTTATGCACCCAATACAGGAGCACCCAGATTCATAAAGCAAGTCCTCAGTGACCTACAAAGAGACTTAGACTCCCACACATTAATAATGGGAGACTTTAACACCCCACTGTCAACATTAGACAGATCAACAAGACAGAAAGTCAACAAGGATACCCAGGAATTGAACTCAGCTCTGCACCAAGCAGACCTAATAGACATCTACAGAACTCTCCACCCCAAATCAACAGAATATACATTTTTTTCAGCACCACACCACACCTATTCCAAAATTGACCACATAGTTGGAAGTAAAGCTCTCCTCAGCAAATGTAAAAGAACAGAAATTATAACAAACTATCTCTCAGACCACAGTGCAATCAAACTAGAACTCAGGATTAAGAATCTCACTCAAAGCCGCTCAACTACATGGAAACTGAACAACCTGCTCCTGAATGACTACTGGGTACATAACGAAATGAAGGCAGAAATAAAGATGTTCTTTGAAACCAACGAGAACAAAGACACCACATACCAGAATCTCTGGGACGCATTCAAAGCAGTGTGTAGAGGGAAATTTATAGCACTAAATGCCTACCAGAGAAAGCAGGAAAGATCCAAAATTGACACCCTAACATCACAATTAAAAGAACTAGAAAAGCAAGAGCAAACACATTCAAAAGCTAGCAGAAGGCAAGAAATAACTAAAATCAGAGCAGAACTGAAGGAAATAGAGACACAAAAAACCCTTCAAAAAATCAATGAATCCAGGAGCTGGTTTTTTGAAAGGATCAACAAAATTGATAGACCGCTAGCAAGACTAATAAAGAAAAAAAGAGAGAAGAATCAAATAGACACAATAAAAAATGATAAAGGGGATATCACCACCGATCCCACAGAAATACAAACTACCATCAGAGAATACTACAAACACCTCTATGCAAATAAACTAGAAAATCTGGAAGAAACGGATACATTCCTCGACACATACACTCTCCCAAGACTAAACCAGGAAGAAGTTGAATCTCTGAATCGACCAATAACAGGCTCTGAAATTGTGGCAATAATCAATAGTTTACCAACCAAAAAGAGTCCAGGACCAGATGGATTCACAGCCGAATTCTACCAGAGGTACAAGGAGGAACTGGTACCATTCCTTCTGAAACTATTCCAATCAATAGAAAAAGAGGGAATCCTCCCTAACTCATTTTATGAGGCCAGCATCATTCTGATACCAAAGCCGGGCAGAGACACAACCAAAAAAGAGAATTTTAGACCAATATCCTTGATGAACATTGATGCAAAAATCCTCAATAAAATACTGGCAAACCGAATCCAGCAGCACATCAAAAAGCTTATCCACCATGATCAAGTGGGCTTCATCCCTGGGATGCAAGGCTGGTTCAATATACGCAAATCAATAAATGTAATCCAGCATATAAACAGAGCCAAAGACAAAAACCACATGATTATCTCAATAGATGCAGAAAAAGCCTTTGACAAAATTCAACAACCCTTCATGCTAAAAACTCTCAATAAATTAGGTATTGATGGGACGTATTTCAAAATAATAAGAGCTATCTATGACAAACCCACAGCCAATATCATACTGAATGGGCAAAAACTGGAAGCATTCCCTTTGAAAACTGGCACAAGACAGGGATGCCCTCTCTCACCGCTCCTATTCAACATAGTGTTGGAAGTTCTGGCCAGGGCAATCAGGCAGGAGAAGGAAATAAAGGGTATTCAATTAGGAAAAGAGGAAGTCAAATTGTCCCTGTTTGCAGACGACATGATTGTTTATCTAGAAAACCCCATCGTCTCAGCCCAAAATCTCCTTAAGCTGATAAGCAACTTCAGCAAAGTCTCAGGATACAAAATCAATGTACAAAAATCACAAGCATTCTTATACACCAACAACAGACAAACAGAGAGCCAAATCATGAGTGAACTCCCATTCACAATTGCTTCAAAGAGAATAAAATACCTAGGAATCCAACTTACAAGGGATGTGAAGGACCTCTTCAAGGAGAACTACAAACCACTGCTCAAGGAAATAAAAGAGGAGACAAACAAATGGAAGAACATTCCATGCTCATGGGTAGGAAGAATCAATATCGTGAAAATGGCCATACTGCCCAAGGTAATTTACAGATTCAATGCCATCCCCATCAAGCTACCAATGACTTTCTTCACAGAATTGGAAAAAACTACTTTAAAGTTCATATGGAACCAAAAAAGAGCCCGCATTGCCAAGTCAATCCTAAGCCAAAAGAACAAAGCTGGAGGCATCACACTACCTGACTTCAAACTATACTACAAGGCTACAGTAACCAAAACAGCATGGTACTGGTACCAAAACAGAGATATAGATCAATGGAACAGAACAGAGCCCTCAGAAATAATGCCGCATATCTACAACTATCTGATCTTTGACAAACCTGAGAAAAACAAGCAATGGGGAAAGGATTCCCTGTTTAATAAATGGTGCTGGGAAAACTGGCTAGCCATATGTAGAAAGCTGAAACTGGATCCCTTCCTTACACCTTATACAAAAATCAATTCAAGATGGATTAAAGATTTAAACGTTAAACCTAAAACCATAAAAACCCTAGAAGAAAACCTAGGCATTACCATTCAGGACATAGGCGTGGGCAAGGACTTCATGTCCAAAACACCAAAAGCAATGGCAACAAAAGACAAAATTGACAAATGGGATCTAATTAAACTAAAGAGCTTCTGCACAGCAAAAGAAACTACCATCAGAGTGAACAGGCAACCTACAACATGGGAGAAAATTTTTGCAACCTACTCATCTGACAAAGGGCTAATATCCAGAATCTACAATGAACTCAAACAAATTTACAAGAAAAAAACAAACAACCCCATCAAAAAGTGGGCGAAGGACATGAACAGACACTTCTCAAAAGAAGACATTTATGCAGCCAAAAAACACATGAAGAAATGCTCATCATCACTGGCCATCAGAGAAATGCAAATCAAAACCACTATGAGATATCATCTCACACCAGTTAGAATGGCAATCATTAAAAAGTCAGGAAACAACAGGTGCTGGAGAGGATGCGGAGAAATAGGAACACTTTTACACTGTTGGTGGGACTGTAAACTAGTTCAACCATTGTGGAAGTCAGTGTGGCGATTCCTCAGGGATCTAGAACTAGAAATACCATTTGACCCAGCCATCCCATTACTGGGTATATACCCAAATGAGTATAAATCATGCTGCTATAAAGACACATGCACACGTATGTTTATTGCGGCACTATTCACAATAGCAAAGACTTGGAACCAACCCAAATGTCCAACAATGATAGACTGGATTAAGAAAATGTGGCACATATACACCATGGAATACTATGCAGCCATAAAAAATGATGAGTTCATATCCTTTGTAGGGACATGGATGAAATTGGAAACCATCATTCTCAGTAAACTATCGCAAGAACAAAAAACCAAACACCGCATATTCTCACTCATAGGTGGGAATTGAACAATGAGATCACATGGACACAGGAAGGGGAATATCACACTCTGGGGACTGTGGTGGGGTCGGGGGAGGGGGGAGGGATAGCATTGGGAGATATACCTAATGCTAGATGACACATTAGTGGGTGCAGCGCACCAGCATGGCACATGTATACATATGTAACTAACCTGCACAATGTGCACATGTACCCTAAAACTTAGAGTATAATAAAAAAAAAAAAAAAAAAAAAAAATGCCAGTTACATTCTAAATCCCTGTAGCAGCATTTCAGGGAAACAGTTTGTCAATATTACTTTCCTTTGTCAAATCCGTGAAATAGCAGTTGATTTCTTAAAATAAATCTCAAGCTATAAAATGTTAAAAAAAAAAATAAATAAATAAATAAATAAATAAATAAATAAAAAAAAAAAAAAAAAAAAAAAAGATCGTGTCAGAGACACATGGCCAAATGACCACCTATGCGGTTATATGCATACAAAAGAAGGAAAGCCGAATTGTAACTCTTCAGATGTATACTTTTAGCCACCTAGGTAGTTATGATATGTTGATGAAACCCTTAAATACTTTAACTTATAATTTAGTTTGTTTCTCAAATACTGCTATTTCACTTCCAGATTTCAATTGTTTTGGCCCTTCCTTAATTCAGAGGTACCAAAACTACACAGGGCAGCAGGTAAATTGAAAATCAATGTAGACTTCATTGGGTGATGTGTGCCTGTATAAATCTTTCCTCCTGTCCATTACAGGGACAAGAAGGATTCCCTGGAGAAAGTGGACCTAAGGTACCGTGTGCTTCCTAGTAACTAGAGATCAGTCAGAAATACTCCTGGGGTTTATGAAATGTATCCTAGGCCAGTAGAAGAACAGTTAATGATAAATAAATGTCCTACCTTTGTGCGGAGAAGGAGGGAAGAAAGAAATAGACCAATATTTTTTCAATTTTTAAGATTATACATTTGTTTAGGAGTGTAAGGCTTAAAAAGTATTTCTAGTTTTTTAATTAGTATGAGAAGATAGAAAACTTATCCTTTTAAAATTTTTTCCTCAAATTTACTCCTTCCCTCTATCATATATATTTTCTTATTTACTGAAAGAAAAGTATAATGTAAGGCCAGGCGTGGTGGCTCATGCCTGTAATCCCAGCACTTTGGGAGGCCAAGGCAGGTGGATCACTTGAAGTCAGGGATTCGAGACCAGCCTGGCCAACATGGCAAAACCCCATCTCTACGAAAAATACAAAAATTAGCTAGGCGTGGTGGTGCATGCCTGTAGTCCCAGCTACTCAGGAGCCTAAGGTGGGAGGATCACTTGAACCCAGGAGATGGAGGTTATAGTAAGCTGAGATCTCTCCACTGCACTCCAGCTTGGGTGACACAGTGAGACTCTGTCTCCAAAAAAAAATAAAAGTAGAAAGAAAAGTGTAATGTAAAGAAAATAAGAGTTATTTGATTTTACCTGTCTCAGTTTTCCCAATATGTTTATAAATCATCTTTAGATAACTAGTTAGCAATGACATCTTCTACCTTGGAGATACCACTTTTTCTAGAAACCCTTACTGAACTCAGTAAATGCCAGGTCCTATGATAGAGTCAGAGGATAAAATAAAGAACAAAGTTCATTTCTCCAAAGAGCCAGTGTTCTCACTGGGGAGACAGCAGAGTGAAACAATGCTGACGCAGTGTGCTATGTAGAGAGTTACACAAATGGAAACACACACACTCACACTCTTCAAAGATGACTGTTAAAAATGCATACGAAAAATGTCTTCATGTTAGAATCAGTTTAAAGATGCAAATATGTTACATATGTATATGTTTGATTTTAATAACTATTTTACTTTAATAAATGTATTTAGGGTGAGATTGGGGACCCTGGTGGTCCAGGAGAGACTGGGCTGAAGGGAGCTAGAGGCAAAATGGTAAGCTTCTTAGATTCCAATTGCTGACAACCTCACTACATTGGGAAGTCCTCCTTTGTGCATTTACAATAATTTGAGTTGTCTTTTGTTACCAGTGACTTGCAAAATGCATGTGTTTTCTATTAAGGCAAACTTGGGGAAGGGGAATGGATAGTCATCTCTCAATGCCAGTGCAAAAACAATGAACTGTTTGCTTTTAGTGAGCAAGTTCACCTGTTTTAGCTGCCAGGGTACCATACTTAACACTGGTAATAAGATTTTTTAAAAGAAATCCTTGTGATTCAAAACAGCTTTTACACTGCCAAAATGTAGTTAGTTTAATCCTGTCTCCCTGGCAGGTTTACTGCAACCTAATGCCCACTGGCATCTTGTCTTCACTATTCAGGTTTTGTTAATCTACTTTTAATGAGATACATGCAGAAAGGTCTTCTCATTTAGCTCAAGGAGGTTATCTCTTGAGCTTTGTGAGAAAGTTTGCTTACTGTGTAACTGAGTAGGTCTTTATTCTGTAGAGGTTCTTAGATATTGCCTAGTGCTTTGAGTCACTTGGAATAAACACAGGTCTCCAGTACAATTCATCCTGTAGGCTTGCCTTGGGTTCCTGTGGATTAAGAATGGATTTCTTGCATTTGCTGACTCTCTATATATCTTAGACTGTGTATAAGTGAGAATGCTGTTTTAGTTTTTTAAAAGACAGTCCTAAGATAATTGTCTCTTGATACAGTGATCATCTTTTTTCTTCAGAACAGCACTGATCAGGCAAACTGGTCTTAATTTATCATGTCAATTAGCAAGAATTTTAAAAGTCTGATAAAAATGTATACTTGAAATGGTTTTCCAGTTTTGTCTTCATAGCTAATTTTGCTCTGATCTATTTTTGTTTCTACAAACTATACGATCTTTATGTATAGATATTACTTGTGTAGGTTTTAGGGGTACAAAATAAGGAAACTCCTCTTCTTCTGCCTCTTCCTCCCCTTCCCCCTCCCCTTCCTCCTCCCCTCCCCTCCCCCTCCCCTTCCTCCTCCCCTCCCCTCCCCCTCCCCTCCCCCTCCCCTTCCTCCTCCCCTCCCCCTCCCCTTCCTCCTCCCCCCCTCCCCTTCCTTCCCTTCCCCTTCCTCCCCCTCCCCCTCCCCTTCCTCCCCCTTCCTCCCCTCCCCCTCCCCTCCCCTTCCCCCTCCCCCTCCCCCTCCCCTGCCCTTTGTCCCCCTCTCTCTCCCCTTCCTCTCCCTCCCCTTCCTCTCCCTCCCCCTCCTCTCCTTCCCCCTCCCCTTCCTCTCCCTCCCCCTCCCCCTTCTCTCCCTCCCCCTCCCCCTCCCCTTCTCTCCCTCCCCCTCTCTCCCTCCCCCTCCCCCTCCTCCAATGAGAACTGCTTCCCACCTATAATGCTTGTCCTCATACATGTTTTTGGATGGCTATCCATTAACATTATGCTCTAAAAAAAAAAGATGAAGACAGATATAATTAGAAAAATAATTGGAAAAGACTTTCAAATTAATCCAGATGTCATCTGCATTGAACTATCTCTGGATCATTTATTTCCCTTGGCTTATTAATTAAGAAGTTTAACCTTGAACATCAGAAGCACGCTAACAAGTTCATGGTTGGATCCCTCCCCACAAAGTCACATTATTCATTTTTAAAGACAATAAACGAATGGGAAACATAAACTTTTTCTGTTGGCCTTTGAAAATGTTTGAAAATTTTTTTTTCTCCATTTTGGACAATTTATCACTGTTCTTAACTTGCTCTTTCCACCCACCCAGCTACTTTTTCCAGCTTTACATTAGTGTTTTTGGATTTGAAGTTGAAGTTTAGACATTGAAAATATCCAGGTTTTCCCTCTAAAAGAGCTGAAGTTTCTATTGGAAGATTTTGGTAAAACTTCAACTTAAATTCTGAATGCTTCGTCAGTTCTCTTTGAATGATTATACTCCTTGTTTAAATTCTCTAAATCTTCACCTTGATTTTTTTTTCCTCAAAAAACATTTTTTAAATTTTGCTATGATTTTTAACCTGTTTTATTTTGTGTATATATGTATGTTTGTATGCATTTTGTTTTTCTTTTTCCCACCTTTAAAAGCACGCACATAGTTTAAAGCAGGGTTTCTCCATATCAGCACTGTTGACATTTTGGGCTGGATAAGGCTTTGTTGAGGGGCTGTCCTGTGCCTTGTAGAATGTTTATCCACATCCTTGGCACCTACCCACTAGATTCCAGCATCAACTACCCTCTGTCCTACCCACACCCCAGGTTATGACAATCAAAAACATCTTCAGACATTGCCATATGTCCCAGGGAAAAAAAGGAGTCAAAATTCTCCCTTGCTAAGAACCACTGGTTTAGAGAGTCAAATAACAAAGTTTGTTATATTAAAAAAAAAAAAATCCTTCACCCCCTCACTCACTCCCATTTCCTTCTCCCCAGAAACAACAGCTGTCACTTCTGAACTGATTTGTTTCAGAATTGACAATATGCCTCTAAATATCATACTTACCTTCTTACTTTTTTGATTTATAAATTTTAAGCATTATGAACTGATTCCTCCTGCTATAAAAGTTGCTGATGTACCTTTCTTGATTTTCCCTTATCTAAATCCTGTCTGAAAACATTTAGATGAGGCAAGTGTTCTCTCCAACTTAATCCCAACGCAGAGCCTTCCAACCTGACCCACCTGATGGAGGTTCGTCTGTGGCTGGTGCCCAGCTGCCATACTGCAATTGTCCTTCACCTTCACCCTTCCCTTTGCCTCTCTTCTGCGTTGGATCTCTGCTTCTCATTCTTATTCTCAGACTCCTCTTGTTGGATTTCTCCCTTGTTTCGTGGAAAACTCATCCAGTAGCCTGCTAAGAAGGGGTGAATGAAAGGTATAGTTTTTGAAACAGCTAACATCTGAAAGGATTTGTAGTACCTTGAGATGTGATTGGATATTTTGGATTGGATATTCCAACAGTTCTGGGTTGGAATTAATTTCTCAGAATTTTGAAGGCTGTCATTCCTCCATTATTTCTAACTTCTTTTGTTACTTGGGGAAGCCCAAAGCCATTCTGATTCCTGATGTGGCCAGTGTTCTCTCTCTGGCACCTTATTGCATAATTTCTCTGTCTGCAGTGTTTTGATATTTCCTGGGTTTTATGAGTTGATGTCCATTTTTATCCATTTTCCTGGGCATTAGGTAGGTCCTTCATAGGCACTAGGAGCCTGGAAATATGTGTCCTCCAAAGAAGTGTTGGTCAATTATTTTGATGATTTCTTGCCCTTTATGTTCTCTATTCCCTATTTATAAAATACCTATTATTGGGTGTATTAGTATTAATTTTCTTATTTTTTCTGTTCTGTCGTCCAGCTTTTTGTCTTTTTGCTCTACTTTCTGGGAGAGTTCGTTGAGTTTATCTTACAGTGTTTCATACTTGAATTTTCAAGAGCTTGTTATTGTTCTCTGAATGTTCCTTTTTATAGCATACTGTTTTTGTTTCATGATTAAAATATCTTACCTTTCTGAAAATATAAATATTTTTGTCTTTTTTGCCCAACATAGTCTGTTTCCTGCATTTTATTTTCCTTTCTGTTTTGAACTCTATTACTCAGATTTTTCAGGAATGAGCTATTTCTTCATATTTAAGAATTGAAGACAAAAAGACTGATTGGGGTCAGGTGCGGTGGCTCACGCCTATCATCCCAGCACTCTGGGAGGCCTAAGCAGGCAGATTGCTTCAGCCCAGCAGTTTGAGACCAGCCTGAGCAACATGGCCAAACCCCATCTCTACAAAAAATACAAAAATTAGCCACGCGTGGTGGCATGTACCTGTAGCCCCAGCTACCAGGGGGCTGAGGTGTGAGGATCACCTGAGCCCAGAAAGTCTTGGCTGCATTGAGCTAAGATTGCACTACTGCATTCGAGCCTGGGTGAGACTGAGATCCTGTCTCAAAAAAAAAAAAAAAAAAAAATGACTGATTGGAAGCTCTGAGAACATGAGTGGGGCTTGTCAACTACCGGTTTCCCAAAGAGAGTGATCTAGCTAAATTCTTTGTTTAGCAAACCTCTGAAATCAATATCTTTTGGTCTTTCTTCTTTGTCTAGTGAAGTTCTCCTGAAAAAACTTCTTACAGTTTCCTACCTGGAGAGTAAAGGTCTGGCTGCCAGCTTTCTAGGAGCCATATAGAAAAAGAGAGCTGGAGACTCACACATTTACTGTACATACCCTCATTTACTCTCCCTGTCTCAGATACTGTAGGTTCTCAACTCAGCCTGGAGTCCCACCTTGGTTTTACCTCTCTTTGTTGCTAGGGTGGGAAAAGGGACATTCACCCAACCCTTGAGAATAGAGAGGAGATTTGGAGATTCCTAAAATGATTTTCAACTAAACATCTTTACTTCACCTTTTTCCCTCACCTCCACTTCTGGAGGTTCCCGGTGCTGCCAAATCCTCAGCCTTCTGGGACGTATGATATAAAACACATTGGTTCTTGGCTTTCCCTGCTGCTGGCTTAGGATTCAACTTTCTCAGGTCTGTTCAGTCATTTAACACTTACACATTTGCTTTCCAGATTCACATTTTATGGCTGTCATCTCCTTTTTCATTCTCCCCACCATTGTTTTTTGCCTTTAAAATAATCTACTTACTGTCATTTTAGTAAGATATTGGAAAGGAATGAAAGTAAATATATGTACTCAATCTGCTATTTTCTCCTTGGAGGTTAACCTTTATCTTCTAAATAAAAATATTTTATTTTTCACTCAACCAAGCACACTGTCAATATCATTGGAATGCCCAAAGGATATCAATCATTATTTACTGTTTTATAGGTAATGCTTTTACAAATTAAGTTGATTTTAAACTTCATTTTTTATTCCTGTAAATGTTGTAAATCCTGTGGCATTTTGAATGAAGAAAGAAATATTCCAATTTTTAAACTAAGTCCTAGCTTTATGATAAACTTATTGTTGAATGCACGTGAAAATATTTCTGACATCTAGTAAGCAGATAACAACTGTTTTTGTTGCTGTTATTCCCCATTTCATTACAATATTTCCAAATAATGATTGTGTTTCTGTTGTTTTAAAAGTTTTTGTATTTCAATTTTGTTTTTCTAGACTTTTTGCTTTTTGTTTTTTCAGTTTAGTTACCTACCACTCCATTTAGATAAAAAGTTTTCCTTTGACCAGCAATTCTAGTCCTAGCAATCTTCCCTAAGGAAATAATCAGAATTATGCATATAACTTTATAATAGCATTGCCTTATAATAGCATCACCTAATAGTGAAATCAATCACTTGAGAGTCACACGGAACTTTTTAAAAGATGATTATTAATGCCTGACAGTAACTGACAGAATTGAATTCACCTGGTATGGAAGAAGCAGCTGTGATAATAGGGTGTCCTGGTGGGTGGGGGTCCTATTACCTGTTGCCTATTGCAGCAACAAACAGTAAGGGACTAACTAAATTATCTATTGCCTGTTACAACAACAAACAGTAAGGGACTAACTAAATCATGGTACAACCATGTGATGGGATACTATGCAGCTGTGAAAAATGATTTTGCCAAATAATGTTTACTAACTGAAAATGTCCAGAGATATATTTAGTTTAAAAGGTAACAGAGAAAAGTATGATTCAAATGAGTTTTAAAAAGGAATATATGTCTTAATTCCAAAAAAAATAAGAAAAGACATCAAAATGTTAATGAGGATTATTTGGGGAAGAAGGGATTGCTGGGAATATTTTTTCCTTCTTTATGTTTTTTGGAAAACTCTCAATTTTCTAAAATAAAAGTGAAATTTTCACTTTTGAATTTTCACCTTTGAATTTTAATTTTTTAAAATTTGAATTTACACACACACATACATATATGTATAAATACAATTTTAAAATAAATTCTCCTTTGAGATATCTGCTGGGCTTCCAGGAGAGATGGGATCCCCTGGGGAACCAGGACCTCCTGGACGTAAGGTAAGTAGAAAAACTATAAACCACAGCAGGTCCTTTTCCATTAAAAAAAAAAAAGTCAGTGCATGAAATCTTCATTGTCCAAATGTGCATGCCTTCTGTCTCTGCTTCTTGGCCACTTTTTTCCCACCTTTATGGGGGAGAAAATACTGATTAAATATTTAGAGGTGAAAAAATACTGATTAAATACATCTCTTGAGAGAGAGGGGAAATTGAAGGAGGAAACCAAAAGTACTTAAACTAAAATGGTATTTCTCAATTATCATATTCTGTATCTGTTCAATCTTTCTATATGTAATAAATGATCATTGGATGAATGGAAGTGAAAGGAAATAAATAGTGACTGTGATCAATGTTGCATTCACATGGAACTTATTTGCTTCAGGAGGTCAGGGGGGGCTCTGTTGCATTTTTTTCTTGGGTGTCTCTCTTTGAAAGAAGCCAGACTCCTCTTCTTCTGAAGATGGGATTGAACACATAAGATTAAAACCAGTTCCATTTGTTCTTCTATCCCAAACTCTGACAGATTATATGTGTGTGTGTGTGTGTGTGTGTGTGTGTGTGTGTGTGTGTGTATTTTTTGTTTTGGGAAGGTAGTTGAGATAACCTTTCCAGATGTTCAATTGAGTCCGATCATTTTGTCAGCTAACAAATGATGGGAACAGATTAAGGTTCAGCTCTGGCTGCTGTTCAGTGGCTCAGTCAAAGAATGGGGGTTGAAGACCTTGAAACTTCTGCTATGAAAGAGGGCAACTGCACATGTGTGGCTCACTTTAGCTAGTCCTGAGGCGTAGGCGTGCTCCAGAGCTCTGCGGCAAGTGTCAGGTTGTCAGCTCCATCCTGGTAATTCTGGACAATGCTTGTTAGCCAGAGATGGACCCGGAGGAAAGCGGCCTCTCAAGGCTTGTGTGCACCAAGCTTGCTGCTTAAAGTTTGTTCTTTCCAGAATGTTACTGTTAATTAGGTAATGAGTACCTACCTGCATTCTTTTTTGCCTCTTACAATTTAATGAGAATAAAACTTTTAAAAGTTATCACTTTCTGAGGGCAATGTTGGTGCACACTGGCTACTGATGTGTATGTCTAGAGGCATTAAAACAATGTTTTGTTTGTTTTCCTAGGGTGTGAAAGGAGCCAAAGGCTTGGCTTCATTTTCTGTACGTATCTCCCGACTACAACAGAGTGCTCTGAGTGCTCCATTCAATTTACTTATTTTTAAACCTCAGGGCCTAGCAGTTTGTTGTTTAATTGTTTCTGTTTTATTTTCGAACTGCAGACATGTGAGCTCATTCAGTATGTGCGAGACCGCAGTCGTAAGTACCCTGCTTAAAATGATCACCCAAGTTGTCAGCATTCATACAAGAAAAGCAGAGAAACCTACACTCAGAATTGAATTCACCAGCCAATTTCTTAAAATTGGAGATGTCACTGCATGTATTTTTGAGTCAGCATAGACTGGTGACTTTTAACTCCCTCTCTGGTTGCTATCATGTCTATTGAAACCCATGTCAAGCAGTAAGAAATAATCTATTGAGTGCTTTTAATCTAAAGAAAATTGAGATTTGATGTCTGAATTCACCTAATAGTGAAATCAATCACTTGAGAGTCACACGGAACTTTTTAAAAGATGATTATTAATGCCTGACAGTAACTGACAGAATTGAATTCACCTGGCATGAAAGAAGCAGCCGTGATAATAGGGTGTCCTGGTGGGTGCGAGTCCTGACTTTGGTTTATTGTTTGTTATTCCTTTCCCGGGAAGATATGTTTGATTATTTTTTGTTGGACTGATTGATTTGCTTTAAAAATTCATAGTAATACTCATTCTGCCAATATTTTTTCTTTCTCAAAATTTTAAAATCAAAATGACATTTTGATTTGGCAAATGCTGATTAGAATTTGTTTTAAACCTTTCTAACAGCTTGTTCTATCAAAATATGTGTTGATACCATCAAAAAAAATTTCATGTGCAAGATTAGGAGAGAGTTGACTCTTCAGTGTTCATCTACAAATGCATAATGACTTTCCAAATAACAATATGACAGAAAAGAGGAGCCAAAAGTTTCCTCCAGATATTTTGGGGGAAGAAAAATAAATTAGAGCCTATTTCAGTAGAGAACATTGGTCTCAAAGACAGACATTTAAAAACTTTGAATGCAGTGTCTATTGGAACTCTGTCTTTTTGTAGCAGAATAGAACCATGATGGGAATCAAAACACATGTATACATTGAGTCATGAAGATGGGTTGTTTTGGGGCTCAGTTAGTGCGGTGGGTTTTATGACATAGGAACCATGTAAATTGTAATGACTCAAGGGCAAATCCAAGTATATTGAGACCTGATATTTTAAAATTTAAGGGACTCCATAAAAAATCGCAAATCTAAAAGTGGGTGCAAAGGTATTTCAAAAGTAAGTGTTATTTAGAACAAAAAAGAAATCATAACCATTAACTTTTGCATATTTTATTTTATAAGAGTATGTGATTGTGCGAACAACATGGCTAGGGTTCCTGCCAGGAAAGGCATTGCAAGGGGGGACCCCTGCAAGAGAGAAGTCTAAAGCAGCATTGTCCAATAGAAGTTTCTGCAGTGATGGAAGTGTTCCCTGTGATGTCCAGTACAGTAGCCACAAGACACATGTGGCTTTGAGCATTTCAAATGTGGCTAGTGCAACTGAGAAGCTGAATTTTTATTTAATTCTAATTAATTTTAATAGCTGCATGTGGCTTGTGGCTGCCATGTTGAACAGTACAGGTCTAAAGCAAGTGTTCATTTAATTCAGAGTAACTCCACCTCTGATACTTACATAACATATAAATATGCATATAATATACATATAGTATACACATATATACTATACAAAGATATAGATACATTTGTGTGTATGTGTGTACATATATATAAATGATAGTTATAGATATCTACATGGGAAAAATTTAGAGTAAAGAGAGGTTGGATCTTTCAGCTTTCCAAATTCAGCGCACCTCCCTGCAATGTCATTTTCCCTCCCAGGCAAAAAGTCTTTGTTTCTTGACAGCTGGCTGCAGGCCGCTGATTTATGGCTGTATGTTGTCCCATTTCTCACATCCTCTTCCCTTTGGAAAGAATAGTGCTTTTACCAAGATGTTAGACTCTGTCTGCATTTTCTCCAAACTCTGTTGCCTTGATTTTTGAGTCATCTACAAAAAGCAGACAGGATAGAACCTTTCTTTCCTGCACGATACAGAACTCTCTTCTCCTACCAAATAATAATCCAATCTCCTTTGTTCTTCTTCCCCAGCTGGCAGGCATGGTGAGTAATCTTTATTTACAGCATGCTTTAATCAAGCTCTAAAATGTCATACATCTGGAAAGATGAGTTAGAGCAATGTATTGGCTTCCAAATGACACAAATTTTATCTGGGCTTTCTTTGCTGCTGCCTCATACTGGTAGCAGAGTCTTGCCTCCAATAAATCACTCAGCTGTAGCTGAGCTTCACAGCTATTTCTCAACCAAGCGATTTGCTTTTTTATTAATAAAAAATCATTAAGATATTAATATCTTAATGACTAACATCACCATTCACCTTGCTTTTAAAGGTTTTAAAAATATGTTGGGGTTTTTTTTAGACATGCTCTGTCACACAGGCTGATCACTGTTCATTGCATTCTTGACCTTCTGGGCTCAAGTGATCCTTCCACTTCAACCTCCGGAGTAGTTGGGACTACAGGCACATGCCATCATGCTTGACTAATTTTTGTATTTTTTGTAGAGGCAGGGTTTTGCCATGTTGCCCAGGCTGGTCCTGAACTCCTGGGCTCAAGTGATCCACCTGCTTTGGCATCTCAAAGTGCTGGGATTACAGGTGTGAGCCACTGTGCCTGGCCAAAAATAGTATTTCTTACTCCCTTCATTTTCTCCCTGTGTCATATCATCTCTGTCATCCAGTGGTTAATTAGGGATTAAGATGCAGAAGGCAGAATAAAAGTGGGGATGATCAGATAGCAAGTAAGTGGAATGTGCAACTCAGATAATGCCAGAATCCATGGAGCTCATGCCTAATGTTAATTATCAAGTTGGCTTCATATTTTTCAGTGCTAGTTTTCAGGTATCTTACAAATGCTTCTTACATGATGTTTTTCTGTAAACTTATCACCCTCTTATACATTTATACACTTTTACCTTTTGTATAAGCCCACAAACCCATGTCCTCTGATTGCTTATCCATGCATTTAAGAATATTTGTTGAAAGCCTAGTAAGTGCCAGTATGTGTAGTAGGCATTAGGGATACAGAGTTGAATAATGAATCTGCTTCCTGTGCTCAGAAACTTCCATTCTTATGGAGGATCCAGATCACAAACAAATAAACAAAGGGAAGCCCAGCACATTAGGTGCTATTTGAAAGAGATAACCTGCACATTGTGCACATGTGCCCTAAAACTTAAAGTATAATAATAATAAAATAAAAAATAGAAAGAGATAAAGCATAGGATGCTGTGTCCTGGGATAATGTAAGGGGGGGAGATGTTTTTGGACAGAGGGCTCTTTTTGGGGGCAGTGAAATTAAAGTTTAGACTGAAGAACACAAAGGAGCTGTCTTTTGGCTGGGCGCGGTGGCTCACGCCTGTAATCCCAGCACTTGGGAGCCCGAGGCAGGCAGATCACGAGGTCAGGAGTTTGAGACCAGCCTGGCCAACATAGTGAAACCCCATCTCTACTAAAAATACAAAAAATTAGCTGGGCGTGGTGGCACATGCCTGTAATCCCAGCTGCTTGGGAGGCTGAGGCAGGAGAATCACCTGAACCTGGGAGGCAGAGGTTGCAGTGAGCCGAGATCACACCACTGCATTCCAGCCCGGGTGATAGTGTGAGACTCCGTCTCAAACAAAAAAAACCAAAGGAGCCATCTTTCAAGAGCTGGGCATAGGGAACTTTAAGTGCAAAGGCCATGAAACAGAACAGACCTGGGTATTTCCTAGGAACTGATGGAGCCCAACAAGGTTGAGACATAGGGAGGGGGAGAGTAGTGCATAAAAACATGGGGAATAGGCAAAGGCCAGAGCAAGCTGAGCTTTGCACATTATAAGGAGGCTGGATTTTATTTGAGTTGTGATGGGGTGGGTATTAAAGAGTATGTTGAAAGTATGTAGGGGAGGAGCATGATCTGATTTTAAAATATTACTTGGGCTGCTATGGGGAGAGTGGATTGTGGCAAGGGTGAAGGGTAGGAAATGTCAAAGCCAAAGGCCTAGTTTAGAGAGGACTGTAGTATTCAGGCAAATATGGTGGCGACCTGGATAAGGACCATCAGTGTTGTGTTTAGGTTACATGGCAGTGGTTTGGGCTGATCCTTGCCTCCCTGTTCTTTTTTTCACCTCCTCTGTGGCAAGTAGCAGTCCTCAGTACATAGTGTGAGGTCACAGAGCCATGTTAGTTGGGGAACCGCACATGGCAATCCTTCCCTTTTTGAGGAGGGCCTCCTAGGTACCACTGCCATCCAGCCTAGGCTTCTTCAGAATCCTTGGGATTCCTGGCAGCTTGCTTGGTTTTTAGGGCTTGTGTTTTGGAAGCTGAATTAGTCCTTAGGTTTTTCCCCTAAAAAAACTTGAATTTTTTTTTCATATCTTCAGCCAGTGCTGTGAACCTTCACCCACCCTTCTCTCTAAATTGTATCTGAAGCATTTTTGTTGTTGTTTCCATGTGCAAATAACCACCCCCCAAAAAATCAGAAGAATCACTTTCATGTTTAGTTCTACTGACTTTTTTAAACGATAAAAGTGACACGTCCATTTATAAAAATCTGTTCAGCCCAGTAATTTAGACTTAGAGACTAATACATGATTTCCTGTCTCCATCGAGATGAACAGTTTGATTTGGGTTTGAACATTTATTCTCACTGGTACTTCTTTTGCCTTTGAAGGACATGGAGTCAAGGACGGGAGGAGGTCATAGTTTAGCACTAAGGTGGGCAAGGCCCAGTTGGCCCATGGCAGAGGGATGTCTCCTTGCCAGCCTACGTGAGCCCCAGCAAGTCTGAGTTCCTGAGCTTGTTGTAAAGCAAGATGGTCTTTGCTGTGTTTATTATCTCTGAATCTGACTTGCTGATATCTGAATGAGAGGAGGCACCTCTCCAAGAGAAACACATCACTGGGGTGTCCTTTTACCAACCAAATCCCAGCACTAGGCATCTCACGTATTATTAAACTTTTGTTATTTCTATACCTGTTGCAAAGAACTGCTCTTTGTTGAGCTCTTTTTCATTCATTCAGCATTTGTTAGATATCTGATATATGGCAGGGACTAATAACTTAGAAGGTCAGCAGATCCTCTTCCTATCCATGCATCATAAACTAGGATAAATGAACATTAATCAGATAATCAAAAATAAGTTATCAACTGTGACAAGTGCAAAGTACCGAAATTAGAATGATTTGGAACCAATGAGTATGGATGCATAAATATGCAATTAACACTTACAGTAGAGTTTACCAACCATAATCAGTTTCTCTAAGTAATAAGGCATATTTATTGAGTAAACTTGCATTTGTAACTGTTAAACAAAAATGTATCTGTTAAAGCTTTCCTCAGTCTCCTTTTAGTGATGTATTTCTCACAATGAAAAAGTCTGGAATGATAATTATAACAGCAATGGTTGACATTTATTGAGCACCTACTATGTGCCAGGTTCTGTTATTCTAAGTACTTTACCTGTGCTGATTCATTTAATGCTCACCTCAGGCCTATGTAGCAGGTGATGTTATGACTCACATTTTACAGATGAAGAAACTGAGGCACAGACAGGATGAGTAATTCAGACAGGGTCACATGGCTGGTTAGTGATTGGGCCAGGGCGCTAAACTCTACCCTGTATTGCCTACTCTCTTTGCGTCTCATTCTTTGCTCTGTAAATTATGTCAGTTTTCTTCCAATTTTTCTAAAATTATCAGAGCTTTCACAGCCTTTCCTTTTTAACTCTTATTACATTTCCTTATTAAGTAAAAAAAGAAATGTGTTTAACTGAGTGAAGTTCCAGCAACAAAACTTGATACTTTTGATCGAGTCTCTGCAGGTGAAGGGTATTTCCAGGAGCTCTCTATTGTTTAGAAGGAATTTGATAATGAACTTTAACATTTCATATAAAATAAAACTGAATTCCAGATGTTTTCCTTTTGTGCTTGATTCAAAAGAGCAGACTCAGCTTTTGGAATAACATCTATAATTATTCAAGATTTAAATATATTTTACATGTTTGTTTTAATACTTAAATTATTCTCTTTAAGTATTTGAATGCTTAACATTTAAAATTACTTTGCCTTCTATGTATCTTTTTTTTTTTTTAAATAAGGATGCTATGTGTTAAGGGATATGGTCTTTTAGGAAAACCGGAATGCCCAGTGCACCCAACCGAGTTGGTGTTTGCCCTGGACCACTCCCGGGATGTCACTGAGCAGGAATTTGAGCGGATGAAGGAGATGATGGCTTTCCTGGTGAGAGACATTAAGGTCCGGGAGAACAGCTGCCCCGTGGGAGCGCACATCGCCATCCTCTCCTATAACTCCCACGCCAGGCACCTTGTGCGCTTCTCAGACGCCTACAAGAAGAGTCAACTTCTCAGAGAAATTGAAACTATTCCTTATGAGAGATCCTCTGCCAGCAGGGAGATTGGCAGAGCAATGCGGTTTATTTCCAGGAATGTCTTCAAGCGGACGCTTCCGGGGGCACACACGAGAAAAATCGCCACATTTTTCAGCAGCGGTCAGTCCGCGGATGCCCACTCCATCACCACGGCTGCCATGGAGTTCGGCGCGCTTGAAATCATTCCCGTGGTGATCACTTTCAGCAACGTGCCCTCGGTCAGGCGCGCATTTGCGGTATGAGGATGAAACCTTTCACATGACAATTCTTACTTATCTTGCCTGTATTCAGAAGCCCCTATACTACCTTGCCTTCAAAATCAGGGCCATTTGTTAGGAAGTTTAAAAAATTCTGGATTGGCAGAGTAGAATAAGTATTTCTTACTGTGTACTGGGAACACGTTAAGCTCTTTCTATTAAATGGGATAATGTCTATTATTTACCTGTTTAATTTTCACAAGTAGTATGTATAAAATAGATGATGAGAAAACTGAGCATGCAGAAGTTAAGCCACTTTTCACGGTTCCCACAGCTAAGAAATGGCAGTGTCAGAACTTTACTCCAAATTTGCTGTTCTAGTGCTTCCCCAAGCTACTCTTTGAGTTGCCTCTGAATCTAAAGATACTGAATCAGGAGGCCGGTAAACATACATGTCACTTAGGGTAGTAATTGTTGCTGTGTGATGAGAGCCAATTTGCTGATTTTATAACTTCACTAATTATAAAGGAAAAGCCATTGCAGTTATAGCTTCTTAGCTTGAGGAGTAAAATCTCAAATGTGTTGCATTCCTAAATAAATTCCCTGGGATTAAGATGACTGATGATAACTTTAAAATATCCCGTTAATAGTGGCTCAGTGGCAGGGCTTCATCACTGGGGACCTGCTGGGCCCAGCAAAGGGTCCTTCCAGTTGGCCTCTTGGCACCACATGGTGTTCTGTTCTCCATGTGGAGACCGTGAAGGGGGGGGCCAGGGAGCAGCAAAGAGGCATTGGAAAATTTAAATTAAAAGTCCAGGGCCGGGAGCGGTGGCTCACGCCTGTAATCCCAGCACTTTGGGAGGCCGAGGCGGGTGGATCACAAGGTCAGGAGATCGAGACCATCCTGGCTAACACGGTGAAACCCCGTCTCTACTAAAAATACAAAAATTAGCCGGGCGCGATGGCAGGCACCTGTAATCCCAGCTACTGGGGAGGCTGAGACAGGAGAATCGCTTGAACCCAGGCGGCAGAGCCAAGATCGTGCCATTGCACTCCAGCCTGGGTGACAGAGTGAGCCTCTGTCTCCAAAAAAAAAAAGAAAAAAGAAAAAGGCCAGCCATTTGAAAATTTATTTAGAGAAAATAAGACAAGAAACAATCATTGTCTTCAAGCGTATGAAAAAGTATTACTGGAGAAAATTAGCCAGCTGAATTCCAAATCTGCAAAATCATAGAGAAACTAGGGGTGACAGCAGTAGGAAACTTTAGGTTTTAAAAAAGAATTTTTGAAAGGCAATGTTGATTTACTGGGCATGAATTAATGCCAGTAGTCAAGATGTTACCTTTATCTGCAGGTCTTTTGTAAGGGTGGTCACTCACCTGTGGAGGGTGACTTCTATTTTTCCTAGATTAGAGGCTAAAAGTGGCCTTTTGAGGCCATTTCCACTGTTCTAAATTTTCTGTGAAAGTGTTGAAATAAGCATAACAGAGTTGGAATATATTTCTCATCTGTAAAATATGGAAAGCAGAAAGCACCTGGTTCCTAGAGTTAGTGTGAAGATTAATTTATGCAACACTGCATTAGTGCCAGTACGTAGTGAGCAATCAAGAATGACAGCTTTTGGCTGGGTGCGGTGGCTCACGCCTGTAATCCCAGCATTTTGGGAGGCTGAGGCGGGCAGATCACGAGGTCCAGAGATTGAGACTATCCTGGCCAACATGGTGAAACCCCGTCTCTCCTAAAAATACTAAAATTAGCCAGGCACAGTGGCGTGTGCCTGTAATCCCAGCTACTCAGGAGGCTGAGGCAGGAGAATCGCTTGAACCCAGGAGGCAGAGGTTGCAGTGAGCCGA
Source organism: Homo sapiens (assembly GCF_000001405.40). Taxonomy (NCBI): domain Eukaryota; kingdom Metazoa; phylum Chordata; class Mammalia; order Primates; family Hominidae; genus Homo; species Homo sapiens. The sequence goes on from NC_000003.12 coordinate 130,651,377, forward strand.
GATTGTGCCACTGCACTCCAGCCTGGGTGACAGAGCGAGACTCCATCTCAAAAAAAAAAAAAAAAAAAAAAAGAATGATAGCTTTTGCTTTAATTATTAGCATTCAGTTGCTTGATCCTGAACAAAAATTTGTTTAATAATAATCTAGGTTGTAAAGGAGCTGAAACTGCTATTATTAATAGTAGCATCATTGAACTAACCTTAGAATTATGCAAATGAAAGGCTGATGGATCAGGTTCAGATAGGGAAATGCAATAAAGTAGAAAAGAGTGGGGCCGGGCTATGCAAATAGAGTTGCTATGAGAAGTAGCAGTAGCTAAAAAATTCAATAAGTGATTTTGGTTACATAGTCCTTGTAATTCCCTTATCCCTTGGTTTTGTTTAGTCATAAAAGGAGACAACTTTCTCTCCTGATGCAAATTGTGATATAAACTTAAACTGACACAATTCCACTCACCCACTCAAAGGTGTGTGTACAACATTTAACTTCTGAAAATGTACTTTGTGTTTTAAACTTTTGAGTGTTCAGTCTCACCTAGAAATTGATGAATCTGGTTTCTTGATTCTACTCAAATCTTCTAGAAACTCTTAACTCCTTTTTTGAAGAAGTTCATCTCAAAAGAGCACCAATGAAGGTTTAAATTCTTCATAATGACCCCCATTAATGTAAGCAGCATTGGCCCCCAACACTGCAACTTATATGTGATTATCTGATTATTTTTCCTAATTTATGATGTGTGGCGATAGGAACAGTAACTGCTGATCTTCTAGTTTATTGGTCCCTGCCATACATCAGATATTTAACAAATGCTGAATGAATGAAAAAGCTCAGCGAAGAGCAGTTCTTTGCAACAGGTATAGAAAGAACAAAAGTTTAATAATGTGTGAGATGCCTAATGCTGGGATGTAGGTTGGTTAAAGGAAACCCCAGTGATGTGTTTCTCGTGGAGAGGTACCTCTTCTCATTCAGATATCAGCAAGTCAGATTCAGAGATGATAAACACAACAAGGACCACATTGCTTTACAACAAGCTCAGGAACTCGGACTTGCTATGGAGTCAGAGATGAAGTCAGAATTGCTCCCAAGTTTCATCCAACAGATGTTTAATGAGTGCCTCATCTTATACACCAGGTACTGTCCTAGGGTCTGAGGATACAGGAGCAAACTGGAAAACCAAAAGGCCCACCCTGACGCTGGAAGATGAAACCAAGCAGGGTTGTCTGGAAGGGCTCAAAACAGAGCCATATATGCAACTTGGTTAGAACCCAATGTCTGATATTACAGAAGAGAAATTACATTACTACCTCTACTTGCCGCCTTCTTTCTTTTATCCATTCTCTTCCATTGTGCTTTACCTACATTTAAACTGTTGTCCATTATTTTTTAAGAACAGAACTTGAAAGTCTCATGATACAATGCATTTTTATTGTGGGTCCACATTTTAAAACCCTAGTTTGTTTCATACCTACCAAGGCTTTTCTAAATCTTGATCCATCTGGGAGTTAAGTAGTCCATCATGAAATTTGGTACCTGTGCAGCCATGTGTGTTGGGACTCAGAAGCACCCGCTCTGACAGCATATACTGATTTCCCTGTTTCTTAGCAAATGGACTGTGATCACCGTCTTGGAAGTTTTTCATGATAGTATGAAGTTGAGTGGCAAGCTGTGCCTTCCTTCACAAATGGAGGACCATTTTTTAATGGAAAAACATGTTTTTTGTTTGTTTGCTTATTTTGTCCCTAGGAATTTGCCTTTAGATTTGTTTAGCAATTGCTTCTTCTGATAAAATTTGACGTGCTGCACATTGAGGCTTCTAATCTAGGGTGAATCTCCCTTTCCAATATTTTGATAAGAAATATGTCTTTTAGCTAGCCTGGCTTTTTATTTTACACTGCTGTGTGGCGTCGCAGCTAAGAGGAAAATTAAGTGTAGTCTTTGACATTATAGATGATTCTCATGATTAGAGACAGAGTTGAAATGGGGGGAGACTTCTCATGGAAAACAAGAATTTTGGCACCCAACCTTTTTATTTTGAAGATAATTTTTATTTGTTTATATATAATTGTCTAGAAGAGAATTATTCATAATATTCATTGTATTTTTTCTTAGATGTTTAGACATGCCCCATGATGTTTAGAGAAGAAAGAGTAAGGTATCATTCAGAACCCTTTGCTAAATGCCCCAAACCTCCCATCTGTGAATGTAATAGCTGTGCTTTCATCCAAGCTGGTGCTTCTTTGAATCCACAGGAGAGTGAGCAATAAGAAACATAAATAATAGGACCATTTTATTTTAAATCTTTAGCCCACATTCAGTTTAAGGAATTTTTCTGTAATATGCTAACTATACTTATTCCAGTGATATGTGGTAGGATGAATGAACTCTAAAACTACATCTTCCAGACTTTATTGACTGAAAGATTACTTGGTCAAGGGGGAAAGGTTGGGGGAAGTGGGGAGGTATTGGGTGAGAGTGCAGACCCCCTGTGGACTCTCCCCATAAAACAACTCACTAGAATCAATGAGAAGGTTGATGTTGCTCTAAGTTGACACCAATGTGTTGATACGTGATTAAATGTGAGCCTAAATTATCAGCAGGGACCAACACCAGAAATATGGAAGTGGTCATGTTGTAGACATGTAGAACATGTAGAATAGAAGACTAATTAGCAAATGGCAGCAATGTTTGGGCAATGTCTTGAGAAACACTGCTCTAAATTAAGTTAGAGACCTACTGATAAAAAACTCTAATCATAAAGGTAGCTAATACAGAAGATGGAAGGTAGCCCTTGTTTGGGGAGAGCAAAACTTAAATCGGAGCCTTCCATAATCCACCCCTTCTGAGGCTCACTTGGCTCATCTTTAAATGGTTGCAATAGATGACATCATTCCTGATTTCTTCTAGATCAAATGTTCCATGATTTTTTTTTCCCCCTGGATCCTGATCATTGGCAATAAGAAAGCTCTTGGCCCTTCCCAGGTAGTCTGAGCTATGCTGTCTGAACTGACACTGGGTTTGGTTTCCAGTCATTTACCACAATCCAGATGGAGTGAAGGCATGATTCACTTAAAACATTGCAAAGAGACACCTCTTAATAGCTATTAATAATGCAGACTAACTCTCCTGGTGTATAGTCAAGACTACTTTGTTTACAGATCACAAAAACCAATTTAAGCTAGCTTAGGTATACCCATATACACACATCCTAAGTAGAATTTATAAGTATCTGGAGCCCAGGTGTCCTCTGGTCCTAAGTCCAGATAAGCAGCCTCTGCTTTTACCCTGTGCTCATGTAACGTTCCAGTAGGTTCATTTTGCCTACTGCCCACATAGAGCTGACTTAGCAAGATGGGGAATTGCAGTAGAGAAAGAGCTTAATTAATGCAGAGCCAGCTGAACAAGAGACCGGGGTCTTATTATTACTCAAATCAGTCTCCCTGAGAATTTGGAGGCTAGGGCTTTTCAAGGATAGTTTGGGGGAAGAGGGGAGTGGTTAGGCAATGGCACTTGCTGCAGATTGGTTGGAAATGCAATCATAGGGGTGTGGAAAATGGTCTTCATACACTCTGAGTCACTTCTGGGCGGGGCCACAGGAGTGGTTGGTGGGTTCAGGTGGAGCCATTAGTTATCAGAAATGCAAAACAACCTGAAGACATCTCAAAGGGCCAATCATAGGTTCTACAGTAGTGATGTTATCTGTAGGAGTAAATTGGGGAAGTTATGTATCTTGCAAGCTCCAGAATAATGACTAGTAATGAGTAATATAGCCCATTGTTCCTGAGGTGTCCAGGATCCCCTTTTTACCCTCCAAAGTGCCTCATAGATAAGCAATTTTGTTTGGGTTAAATCTTTCCCACGGTGGCCACTGTAACTCTTATTTTTGGTAAGGTTTACCCATTTCTCTAGAAGAGAATAGGTTCCAAGATAGAAGACTTGTTGAATCCAGATGAACCCACTCTTCTCTGTCTTCCTTAATCTTACCAACCTACTGGACCCAGTCCAGCTTCTGCCTGACCCAGTCAGACATCTGAGGCCTCTAATTGGATGCAATCCTATTAATTACAGGATCCAATCTGATCTTGGACCCAGCCAATATAAAAATTACTCAAATAAACTTGAAGAGCTCAAAACACAAGTTCATGGAGCTTGAATCAAAGAGAACTCACCCATGATCCCAGTTGCTGTGAGAGATCAATGGGCACAGTGGACCAGGCAGGTATATTTACCTGGTCACTTGGTGCGCCTGGGAGTCACTGGAAGTCTACTTTGGATCCCATTTGTGATACCAAAGTGTTAAAAACTTTAGGCAAGTTAAATTTTGCAGAGTTTATTTGCACTAAGAGCTATTTGTAAATCTGTCATGGGATCTTTGGGGTGTTGCTCCACCAGCTGGAAACCTCTGTGGCCAGTGGTGCCTTTGCCCAAGTTTTTACTCAGGCCCACTAGGCTTGTTCCACCCATTCAGCCTGGCAGGCTGTGCTTGGCTCATGCTACCAGCCTGAATCTCATACCTGCCAAGGGCAAGCCAGGCATGGAGCAGCGAGGGGTGTGTGAGCAAGTGATTGTGGGGTGGCAGGGTGGGCAGCTCCCTGCGAGGCTGTGGCTGGACCAGGTGTACCTCAAGCAGCTTCCACAGCTGGCACTGGGGAACATGGTGGCACCTGGAAACTTGGAGATGCCAGGAACTGCAGACCCCCAGAGAGGGTATCACAGCCCTGACTTGAGCTCCTAGGTCTGGGCTCCCCAGAGGGCTGCAGCTCTTCTCTCTCCTCTCCTCTCTCCTCACCTTGTTGTCACCCACAACGTGGTGAAAAAGGAGCATGTTTCAGCCCTGTGTGTGTTACAGCTGTTTTAGCTCTACCATTCAGTGGGTCCTGAGTTTTTGTCCTGCATCCTGGAAGAATGAGGTACACAGACAAGTGGAGGGTGAACAAGGTGAAGAGGAGCTTTATTGAGTGACAGAACAGCTCAGAGGAGACCTGCAGTGGGTAGCTCCTCTCTGCAGACAGGGTCTCCTGATGAGTGTCTGGCTCTCAGCAGAGAGGAGGCCCTGGGGTGGGTAGCTCCTCTCTGCAGCTGGTCAACTGGTGGCCTCCTTGAGTCTGTCCGAGTCCAGGGTTTTTATGGGTTTCAGAGGGGAGGAAGTGTGTGCTGATTGATTAATGGGAGGCCACTGACGGGCCAGAAAAAGCACCATAAGTTCCCATTTTGGTCAGCCCAGCCCCCAGGCTTCGGGCTCCCCCTGGCTTGAAGGTGGGGTTTCACTGAGGACCCACCCCTTTCCACACAGAGGCCTGTCTGCCTCCTTCTGTCATCCAGTGGAGCCCAGGCTGTTTGCACTGAGGGGTGCCTACAGGCCAGTACCAAGCTGCCCTGAGAACCCCCCTTGGACTCCCTCTCGTGCTTGTTAGCACCCAAACTCGGGAGGGGGCTGAGGCAGTGAGGCTGGCATGTCAGCACTGCCCATGGTGTGTGCACACCTGGCCGGGTTGCAACAGTGCCTGGGCTCAGCCTCAACTTTGCTCCAAGATCAGAGCAGGTGCTGGAGCAGAGAGAGGCTAGGTAGCAGGAGCAGGCATTTCGAGCTGGTAGGGGCAAGGGGTTTCCCAGGTCTCCAAGAGTGCAGAAATGCCTGGGCCCACAGCCGCAGCCAGACGGCTGCAACTGCTCCCAGGAGGGCAGGGCCCCTGCCTACTCCCAGCCCCCAAGAGCACAGGGATGCCTGGGTCTGGAGCCACAGCTGGATGGCCGCAGCTGCATTCAAGGAGCAGGAGGCTCTTACCCTGCCAACTCAGAAGCGGGTGGGGCTTCCACCTGTTCCCAGCTCCCAGGGTTCCATGGAGTGTGCAGCCCCGACTGTACTCAGGTAGCATGAACCAAGCACAGCCTGCCAGGCTGAATGAGTGGGACAAGCCTAGTGGGCCTGACTGCAGCCAGCATCATGGCAGTGGCCACTCCAGATGGGCCACCACTGCCATCAAATCGAGCAGCCCTCAGAACCAGAGGAGTTTCAGAGAGCTGTTCTTCACAATGTGGCAGGCAGTGTTTATGGATGAAAATGGAAGTGAACTACAGAAACAGCTTGACTGATTACGGTTCGGGCTTTGCCTCATTTGAACATGGTCTAATCAGTTGGCCACTTGTGACTAACTGAAGCATAGCCGCTATGATTGGCTAAGACTTGGCTATTTGTTTAAAACAACAACAACAACAACAACAACTCCTAAGATAGGTTTTCAGTTAGTACGTACTAAGTTAGGTTGCAGTTGGTTACATGAGGACTCAAAATACAGAGGTGTCCTCAGGCCAAATGTACTTTAACACCATATCTAGTCCAGTCAGCTATGGTTGAAGACAGAGTTACGCCATATAAACAACTGATGAAGTTCTACCTCTGTGGATTAATTATGGTGATGGGGGATCTTCCCAGAGAAAGAGGGTAGTCATTAGCTTAGGACAGGAGAATCACAGGGAAAAACTAAAATATCATCTGACTCATCTCTTAGGCATTAGATAAGGTCATGCCTACAGTTTTTCTTTAATTATCAATGATCTCTGGGTCAATTAGTGAAGCTCATAATTCTTGTTCAGAGCCTCCTTATCTTCCCCCTGTTCTCTACCCTCAAGCTCCCCCTGTGGGTTACTAACAATGGGGCCAAGTTGGGAAAGGGTTGGGAGTTGTTCAGAGAGCTGCATGGACGTAGATCTGAGTGTATTTCAAAGACAGCTTCAATGCCTAGTTTATAGTAGAAACCTAAAGATAGTTTATAAAGGGCATCCTGTGATTTTACATGGGTCTCTGAGACTTAGGTAGGGGAGAGGAGGTCTCTGATACTCTTTCTTAAATGGCTTCAGTGTCTTTTGATCGGTCCTTTTAACGTTTCATTGAGCTTCAGTTTCCCCATCTGTAAAATGGGGATGATGAGCATAACTCACTGTATTGCTGCAGTAATAGATATGAAAATGTTTTGTGATCATTAACCACCCACACTGTACTGTCTGTGCAAGCGCTTTACAAATATGAACCCATTTAATGCTCACAGTAGTCCTGTTAGGAGGTAGTAGTACTCTTATTTTACAGATGAAGAAACATGGAAAATAACTTGTCATATAGTTAAATTGAGAGTCAAGGTTTAAACCCAGACAGAGCTCTTAGCCATGCTTACATGCTGTGCCTCCCCCGTACCTTCTTAGAAGGAGCAGTGTTACTCTCTCCAGATGTCAGTTCTCTATGTAGTCCTAAGAGGTTCTTGCAGCCCTACCCACTAAGTTCTTTCTGCTGCTTCTGCTTCTTTTAGATTGACGACACTGGCACATTTCAAGTAATAGTGGTTCCCTCCGGGGCCGACTACATACCAGCATTAGAGAGACTCCAGCGGTGCACTTTCTGCTATGGTAAGACCCACAGAGAGAAGGTAATTTGGTCAGGCCTATTAAGCATGATGAGTCACCACTGGCAGGGGCAACTGGAACTTGGCAGCAGGGATACTTATGGCCTTGGGAGGACCTCTCTGGGGTTCTGGGCCCACCCTGTCACACTTCATCTTCCACAGATGAATCCTCTCAGCTCAGCAAACATGGTCTCTTCCTATATATCCCAGCAAAAGAGTTGCATTCCAGGCCTTTCTACATAGTGCAGCTTACAGGAAACAGTAATGATTCTTAGAAAAACAGCCTATTTCATTGCCAAGTTTTTATGCTATAAAGTATATTTATGTGTTTTCTAAATCTCAAATGTTCACAGCCACAAAGAAATGCCTGAAAGCAATTCAGCACCCTCCTACCTGCTTAGGAATATTTTTTAGTACAGTCAAAGTGGAAAATAGCAGAAATTCATACATTTCTCATTGAAAAAAGGCTTCATAGACTCCCAAATATTAAGCATCAGAAAGATTTGCAGTGTTGATTTATTTGTAGTGTTTTATACGTAATGTATAGGTCTAACTAGAAAACTGGACTCTAATCTTCCATTTGAGTGTTCTAATAATTACAAAGACAGTGGAAGCCACTGGAATCATTGGTGGCTGTAATAGCTAAGAGATATAAAGCATTTTCTATAGGCCATGCACTGTTCTAATTCATGTAATATCAATGATGGTGATAATGACAGTTAATACTTAAACTATTGTGCTTATGTTCCAAGCACTGTTTTAATAACTTTAAATGAATTATGTCATTCAGTCTTTAAAATCACCCTAAAACATTTAAACTACTATTAGTTCCATTTTACAGAAGAGAAAAATAAAGCTTAGAGATAGTAATTTGCTCAGGGCTTCACAGCCATATTAAACCCAAGAAGGCTGACTCTAAACCGTCTGCAGTTTATGAAAAACAGGTCTCATTCTTCTGCTCCCTAAACCTCTCCATTTGAGCCTGTAGAAAATGCTTGATTTTTCTCCTTCACATGTATCAGTGAGATGCAAATGCCTGCCATATAAATGACCTAAATGAGGAAGGTAGTAATTCTGAGGGAGAAGTAGGGTTTCTGGTCTTCTAATAACCCCTCTTCTTTCTGTCTTCCCTCTGCTCCCCTCTATCAAATTTCCCTCTTTCCCTCTCCTTCTCTTGACTGCACAGAATTGGTTTAGGCGCTGGCAATCTTACTCAGAACAGTTAAAGTGCTTTACATACTGTGGGGAGATACATTCCACCCTATGTATTCTCAGTTGCTTTTTCAAACATGTCAGTTACAACAGTGTGATGGTATGTTGCATAGTCAGAAGTTGCACATGTGTGACTGGGGATAGATTTTGGCTTCATTTCTTGGCTTAAACCCTTGTTTTGTCTCTTAGGCATATAATAAAAGAGATTTTGGCTGTTGTTTCCTGCAATTAAAAATCCTACAAAACTGAGCAAATGGGCAGCCTGCTGTCCCTGATTTTAGAAACTGCTTTGCACACAGGTGACTGTTTTATCATCTGACCATTATACAGGACCATAAAATTTTAGTTAACTTCAGTAAGGGAACCATAACTTATCCAAAGTCACATCTTTATTGAGTCCATGAACAAGACTGTAGTGAGAATTTTCTTACATCTCCTAGGATCAGCACTCTGGTTATTAATCTTTCATCTAAGTTTTTATTTGTGGCCTCTGCCTATATATCCAGTACCAACTGTCCATACTCATGTTACTCCATTTTTCTTTCTTATCTTTGGTTATTAAAGAGGCTATTTTCATCCTCAACCATCAACTACTATTGAAAACCCAGGATTACAAAATGTCAGCCCTGAAAGGGGTCTGTAGGTGAGCCTGGTCCTACCACCTAATTTTACAGAACTATGCTGAACTGAAGCCCAGTGGTGACTTGGCTAGGGGCACACAGCTTGTTACTGAAACGAGACCAGAACCCAAGCATCCCAGCTCTCAGGCCAAGGGGCCTCCCCACTACTATACCACCTGGCCTCATCTCTAACAATAAAATACTGACTTCCTATATAGAAACTTCTAGAAATACTGGTGTGTCCTTAGGCAAAATTATTTTACTATCCTGGCCACAGTCTCTTCTGTAAAATTACAACATTAAATGACCTTTAAGAACCTTCCATTTCCATTTTTTTATTCCTCTGAATATTCATGGTGGTCATATTCAATAAAATCCCGTTTTTATTACTATGCATTCTTTTATTAAATGAGATATGCATATTTATAAAATGACCTCATTTAGGAAAGTCCATTAATATCTAATATTCATTTAACAAACATGTATTCAGTTTTCAACTAATGAGCACTATGGAAATGCAAAGATGAGCTTTGTCCTTAAGGATCACTCATAGGTAGACACTGAGTTATAAACTTATTTAAATTGAAATAAAAGATATATTACTTTGTTCACTTTTACTTTGTAAGCACTTCTTCATAGTAGAATATAAGCGTAGTGATAATATTGTCAATCTAGAGGGATGAGTCACTGTTATGTTGTGATACAGTATACCCTTGCATGCACGAGGCCAATCGTCCACTTCAAATGACATAAACTTGAGACACAGCCAAGATTAAACTTCTGTTGAAAACAGCCTAATCTTTAAAAGTCTGATAGCATTAGTAAATGGAGTCCAAGACACAAGCTGGGTATAAAATCTGTACTTTTGGGGGACAGATGCAAACCATGTACTAGGAAATCTTCCTGTTACTATTAAAGTATTTAGTCACTATTTTAACATCAAAGACTATGCAGTTTCCAAATGTCAAAATATTTGACATGCTATCTTCCCTTTTCTATTTCTACTTAGTAACCCAGAGTAACTTTTGGTTCACAGATGTGTGCAAGCCAGATGCTTCTTGTGACCAAGCCAGACCACCCCCTGTGCAGTCTTACATGGATGCTGCTTTCCTTCTGGATGCCTCCCGGAACATGGGAAGTGCTGAATTTGAAGACATAAGAGCCTTCCTTGGAGCACTATTAGATCACTTTGAAATCACCCCAGAGCCGGAGACTTCTGTCACTGGAGACCGGGTGGCCCTATTGAGCCATGCTCCCCCCGACTTCCTACCCAACACTCAGAAGAGTCCAGTTAGAGCTGAGTTCAATCTTACCACCTACAGAAGTAAGCGCCTCATGAAGAGGCATGTGCACGAGTCAGTTAAACAACTAAATGGAGATGCTTTTATTGGTCATGCCTTACAGTGGACTCTGGACAATGTATTTTTAAGTACACCCAATCTGAGAAGAAACAAAGTCATATTTGTGATATCTGCTGGGGAAACCAGCCACTTAGATGGGGAAATCTTAAAGAAGGAATCCTTGCGAGCCAAATGTCAGGGATATGCCTTATTTGTGTTTTCCCTTGGCCCTATTTGGGATGACAAGGAACTGGAGGATCTCGCCAGCCACCCTTTGGATCACCACCTGGTCCAGCTTGGCCGAATTCATAAACCTGACCACAGTTATGGTGTGAAGTTTGTGAAGTCCTTTATAAACTCAATCAGGCGTAAGTCATAAAATCTGTTGTTCTCTGCACTTTAAGAATATACTTGGTATTACTAAAAAAAGGTTGATGAGCTAACATGGATACTTGGAAACCTCTTGTCTGTCTTCAAGGGCACTTCAGGGTCAGAAAGGAAAATATATAATGACGGATGGTAGAAGGGAGGAAACCTCTGATTCCTACACATTTAGTTTTCTGGCTTATTTTTTTTTTATGCCTCTGGTTCCTATAGAGAAGCAATCATAACAAGCAGCTGTTCACACATCTGTCTTCATGGAGCAGTGCAGTCCGGGGGTGTGAAGTCATAGCCTGGACTTTAGCTACAAAGTAGAAATCCTTGCAGTGTAACCTTAGCACACTGCCCTTTGATGGAAAGTTTCATCTGTTAAGGCACCAAAAAAGAGAGCCAAAGAAAAATTAAACAGTTCTTGGCTTTGCTTTCACAAGTTCCTGAGGCAGAGTTTGAAGTGTTAGGAGATACCATTTTACCTGTCAGAATGAAAAATAGAGCCTTGCAAAACTTTCTTAGCCTTGTTAATGGCTCTTTTTATGATGCCAGTAATTAGAGTAACTGGTGCCCATAAAAAAGAAACATGGGCTGCATTTCTTGGAGTAAGTTTGCCTTGAAAATATGCAATCCATTTTGAATGCAACAGGGTGGATAAAAAGCTGTATCCTAATATGATTCTGAAGGGTGAAAAGCACTTGGTAGGACTTGCAAACGTTTTCATGGTAAATGATCCCTTGCAGTCCAGATACAGAAAAATGAACACACAGGCAAAAGAGTACCCGGTGTGGTTCAACTGAGGTCCTGATTGTGTCTCAAATGTGCCTCTGATATTACGTGGCAAGCCCAGTTAAAGCTGTAGAGACACAGACTTATCAGTCAGTGTAGGGTGAGGTCTAAGGAGCCTTGGAGATTGTTGTTGGGGCTGATAGTATATCCTCTATGATTCAAACTGACTCTAGAACCAGTAGTACCAGTGTCACTTGGGAGCTTGTTAGAAATGTAGAATCTTAGGACCCAACCCAGTCATTCTGAACCAGAATCTGCATATTATAAAGATCCCCAGGTGACTCATATGTATATTATGGTTTGAGAAACACTTGGATGGGAACAATAAGCCCCCAGAATGAAATTTATGTGGATGTATTCTGGAATAGAAGCCAGAAAGAAGAGCTGAGGAAAAAAAGGAAAAAAACGGGGATGGGGCCATTCTGAAGAAAGGAATCATAAGGCATTTGTAAGGGTAAAAAAAGTACATCTCTAAAGACTGATAACTTGTAAAGAAACTCTCATCAGGCAAGAAGTTGCAAGAAGTCTTATGATGGAATTTCCTTCCCCACTCCCCCAAAATTCTTGGTAGTGTTTCATGGGTTATTAGTCAAATTATATTATTAGATAAATGGCACCACCCCACCCCTCAACTGAGGAAAGGTAAAAAGATGTTTTAAGAAAAAAGTACTTAGGGTACATGAGAGATACATAAAGTGCTTTGGGAAAATTATAACCATGATGAAATTATACACCATTCTTCTAGAACTTAGATCTATAAATCTTCAATCTTTAAAATGTAACTATAAAAGTACAAGTCAAGAAAGACTTTGCATAATCATGTTCAAGTCTACATGCTTAATTCCATAGCAGGCTCACAGACTTGTACTAACGCATTCAACATTAACATATATTTACTGGGGAACTTCTCTGAGCCACTCACTGTTCTGATGCTGGGTATCAAGGAGTGACCAAAACAGTCTTGGTTACTGACTGGTCTTCTGGTCTAGCTCCCTCGCTTTGTGGCTCTTATTTAAATATACTGTTATAATAGAGTTGACTATCAAGCACACTCCACATCAAAATCAACACATTTTCTAAGAGAAACAAAACTGCTGACAAACCATCTGATACTTAACACAGATAAAAAAATTAAAAATCAGGTGCACAATAACAGAAGCATCACACAGTCTTAGGCCATTCAGTCCAGAGCACACAGTCTTACTTAGAACAGCAGCTCTGGAGACAGTGTTGGGTCACGGTCCAGGACAAACTTGCTACTTATGATGACCCTGGGTGACCAGGAAGAGATCTAGTTGTGTTTAGCAAATCTATTTGATTTACTGCTTCAAAGAAATAGATAATACATTTTTAAGAATTCCCATCAAAAATGGCTTTTAAATCTTTACATGGTATAAAAAGAGGCATGCTTCATTGTTATGAAAAATTAATACACTTCCAAATGAAATGAGCCACTAATGAACTGAACCCAAGATGTTAGTGCTATTGTTGCTGTTGTTAGTGTTTCAAAGATCATAAAGAAAATGTCTTTTTTCCTTTGCATTTTGATATTTCAAAGGAGCAAATAAATAACTACTCTTGTTAGTTTATATCAATTAAAAGCCAGACCTATTAGGACTGGCTCATTGTTATCTCCTCTAATGGTTGACCCGCTTTAGCAGCTAAGAGGATCTTACTGAAAAGTTAGTTGAATTCACCTATAAATTCAGAAGGGATGTGTTTTCTAAAGTCAGTTTTAAAGATTCCCCTGAGAAATCTGCTTTCATTTCATGTGATCACCTTAGTTGGTATTTTTCTTGATGGCTATTTAAAACAGTAAAGTGGCACTTTGTGTACAGAGCAGATTGCAGTAATGTTAACAGTCATGAATACAAGACTTATCACAGACTTTTCTCTTCTAGGTGCAATCAACAAATATCCACCAATAAACTTAAAAATAAAGTGCAACAGACTTAACTCTATAGATCCAAAGCAGCCCCCACGACCATTCCGAAGGTACTGTCTGTTTGGTGTTACTTGATAAATGAGAATGCCCCCTGCCTTTCTTCTATTTTCCTCCTCCTCCTTTTCTTGCTTTTCTTCCTCCTCCATCTTATTTGGACAAAAATCTATTGCTACATGATATTAAAATATAATTCGAAGGAACAAGAGATAACTTTTTAAAATGACCATGCTGATCTGAAAAACAAATTGCTTTTTTTTTTAATGGAAAAGCTAAGTGTTGAAATAAAACACCCAAATGGGACACCCCAGTGACAATGAGCATGCCTGATAACCACATTGTGGTTTCTAAATACCTTTAAAAGGAACCAGGGTTTCTTAGAGAAAGTCCTAATTCTAGATTGCCCCAGGGAAGGTACAATATTAGCCTGGAGAAACTTGTTATGCCAGAAAGCAAGAAAATAATTAAAAACCAACAATGTCTTTTCAAAAGGACAAAGGAGTCATCTTGATGGGATTCCCACTGGCCTAATTTTGAGTAAGTTGAACGTTAGAAAGTATAAAGATAATGAATTATAACACTTTGAATTTTTAAAATCCGCAAGTCTATATAGAGGACTTCCAAAAATGGAGGAAGAGAGAAAATGTTCTCTATACAAGAATGCTAGCTAATAAATGTAGAAGGAATGGTAGAATTAGAAAATCACCAGTTTGTGGTTCACAATGTAATAACAATGTTAATAACATATTACAATAACTGATGATTACAGGGTGCCAAAACCATCGCGTGACAGGTTGTTGGGGAACAGGCTGTTTAAATAGTCTCACAGAACCACTCACATGTTACTTATTAATTACAAACAGGAAAATGTGCCTTTACGTGGTGAGATCTGGCATTATGTGCCTCCTGAGGGGATGCAGTGGGAGGTGCACAACGTCACCTAAATGAGCGTCTTGGTGGACCTCAGATAGGATGTTTAATCCAAGTCTAATAATGAGGAAACCAATGGACAATTCCAGAATCTAGAATGTTTTTCAGAACACCTTGCCTACATTGTTTATAGGATTCATATCATGAAGAATAGAGGGACATGGGGTACTGTTCTAGAATGGGAGACAAATGAGACAAAATGGTCAAATGTAATTGTGTGAATCTTAATTCGATCCAAGATTGGAAAAAAGCTAATATAAATGATATTTGGGGAACAATAGGGAAAATTTGAGTATGAACAATATGTTGGATGATATTATTGAATTAATGTCAGTATCCTTGTATGTGGTAGTAGTATCATGTTTTTATAAGAGAATGTCTTTGTTGAGATAGGTATGCTGAAGTACTTAAGAGTAACATGTATGATGGCTGCACCCTACCTTCAGATGGTTTTCCTAAAGGGAAGTAGGATAGGGTGTGTGCGTGAATGAATATATGTGTACATTATATACATATATACATATAAAGAATAGCAAGATAGTAACAGTTGGAGAATATAGGTGAAAGATATACAGGTTATTTATGATTCTGTTCATTCTAATTTTCTGTGAATTTCACAATTAAAACTTGTAAAACTTAGTGAAAGAGTAAACAGTAATAAATGTGTCTGAAGAGAAACATAATTACAGAAAATGCTGAAATAGAATGCAGAGATGATCAAGAATTTTAGAGACAAAATGAAATGGGAAGATCTAACCTATATCTAATTGGAATTCTAGAAAGATAAAATAGAAATAATGAGAGCCAATATTCAAAGACATAAAGAGATTATCATTTTCTAGAACTTATGAATGACATGAATTCACAGATGAAGAAAAAAGATATAACAGGCAAGATAAATAGAAAGCAACAGTTGGACATAGTATGGGGAAATGCAGGACACCAAGACAAAAGCAGCCAAAAAGAAAGGGCAGATTATCTACAAATAAATTGTAATTAGGCTGGTAGGTGATTTATCAATTGTAACAGTGGAAACCACAAAACTATTGAATAACTTTAGTGGAAGAAAATTTTGTCAACTTAGAAAAACTGTCTTAAGACAATTTAGACTTAAACAATAGTTTACTACAAAAAAGTCTTTATTAAAGAAACTTCTACAGTATGTACTTCAAGAAAAATAAAAAATAACCACAGAAGAAGGGAATGAGATGCAAGAGGCAATAGTAAGTGATAAAGTTTATCAGTATTTAGTTAAATCTAAACAAATGTTTTTTTGTTTGTGAGACAGAGTTTCACTCTGTCGCCCAGGCTGGCGTGCAGTGGCATGATCTCAGCTCATTGCAACTTCCACCTCCCAGGTTCAAGCAATTCTCCTGCCTCAGCCTCCCAAGTAGCTGGGATTACAGGTGTGCACCACCACGCCTGGCTAATTTTTTGTATTTTTTAGGATAGATGGGGTTTCACCATGTTGGCCAGGCTGGTCTTGAACTCCTGGCCTCAGGTGATCCACCCGCCTCAGCCTCCCAAAGTGCTAGGATTACAGGCGTGAGCCACCGAACCTGGCCTAAACAAATGCATTTTTAAGTAATATATATTAACTTGTGGGATTATAAAAAAGCTGTACTTGTTAACAAAGCTATGAAAATAAAACATTTCACCTGGTGGTTTTAACAGAAAAAGTTCTAAGACTATAAATATTAATAAATGTTTTTGATTTATTTAAATATGAGAAAAGACATCAACAAAAATAATCTTGTATTATTAAAAAATGAAGCCTTGGACTTTAAGGAAAGCAAGGTGGTACTAAAAAGAGGGTAATAATAATGTAAGTCACAGGGAGATAGATGGAGTTAAAAGATTCTAGGAGCTTGTATCATTTGGGCCGGGGATTAGGCTATTGAAAAACTTGAGATGCTTAAAAAATGCATAACAAATTTTAAGGGCACACATGAAAAAGAAAAATATAAATTAGCTAACTACCAAAAATCTAGTGAGGGAAAATAGGATAAAAAAACAACAATGTAATAATTATTTTTTAAAAATAAAAAGCCAAGAAAGTTTCTTTAAAAAGGCCAAAAAAAAAGACAAGCAGAAGGCACAAAGACAGCAGAATCAAGTCAATTTAAATATATGAGTAATCACAAAAAAAACAGATTAAACATGCCAGTTACAATCAGAGATTGATGGATTTGATTTTGAAAACAAAATAAAATCCAGCTTCAGCTGGGCGCGGTGGCTCATGCCTATAATCCCAGCACTTTGGGAGGCCGAGGCAGGTGGATCACCTGAGGTCAGGAGTTCGAGACCAGCCTGGCCAACATGGTGAAACCTCATCTCTACTAAAAATACAAGAAATTAGCTGGGCGTGGTGGCGGGCATCTGTAATCCCAGCTACTCGGGAGGCTGAGGCAGGAGAATCGCTTGAACCCAGGAGACAGGGGTTGCAGTGAGCCAAGATCACACCATTGCACTCCAGCCTTGGGGTCAAGAGCAAAACTCCATCTCAAAAAAATAAAATCTAGCTTCAACTGCTTTCAAGACACACATCCACAATATAAGGAAATGGAGAGGCAGAAAGTAAAATGATGGAAAAAACATACCAGGCAAATATATCAAAAATAAAGGTAGAATAGCTATATTTATATCAGATAATATATACTTTTAAATCATTTTGTAGAGATAAAGAGGATGACTACATGATGACAAAGTGTTCAATTTATGAGGAAGATAAAACAATTTTAAATTGATGAGGGTCGTAAAACCTTAAAATAGACAAAAGAGAAACTGAAAAACCATAAGGAGAAATTGTCATTGAACCATCAAAATTCGAGATTTCAGTATACTAGTTTGAATATTGATAGGTCAAACAGACAAAAATTAGTAATGATATAAAAGATGTAAACATAAGTAACAAATGATTTAATAGATACATGCAGAACCCTGGACAGAAAAATTAGACATTCTTCTGAAGAACATATGGAATATTAACAACTGTTAAATCAAGGTGGAGTGTTTATAAGTGTTCCTTGTGCAACTTCTAACTTATAAAGCAAGTGTCAACAAATCTCTGAGAACTGGTGTCATACAATCCACATTGTCTGACCACAATGCAATTAAGTTAGAAATTAATAATATTTTAGGCTGGGCACGGTGGCTCACGCCTCTAATCCCAGCACTCTGGGAGGCTGAGGTGGGTGAATCACCTGAGGTCAGGAGTTCAAGGCCAGCCTGGCCAACATGGCAAAACCCCATCTCTACTAAAAATACAAAAATTAGCCAGGCGTGATGGCCCACACCTGTAATCCCAGCTACTCGGGAGGCAGAGGCAGGAGGATTGCTCCAACTCAGGAGGTAGAGGTTGCAGGGAGCCAAGATCATGCCACTGCACTCCAGCCTGGGCAAGAGTGAGACTCTGTCTCAAAAAAATATATATATAAATAAAAATAAAATAATATTTTAAAAACCTATACATTTTAAAGGGAATAAATAAATAATGGGACAAAAAATTATAGTGAAAACTTAAAAATACTTAGAACTGTGTAACAATCAAAATGCTATATGTCAAAACTTGTAGGATGCACCAGAAGTCATGATTTAGGAAATTTTATCTTAATTCTCATGTGAGAAAAGTTATTTAAATTCAAGAAGCTAATGAGCTAAGCGTTGATCTGAAGATGTTATATATTTGAAAAAACAGACTATGTTCAAAGAAATGAATGAGTAGAACTTAATATTTTTTAAAAATTAAGATAGTATCAACAAAGGCAAAAGTCAGTTCTTTCAAAACTTAAGAATGTGCATATATATTGTATCTTTAGCACGTATGAATATTACTTTTTAAAAATTAGAAATAAGTGAAATCAAATGGGAGTGTCTCTATTTCTGTGGTAAATTATTCTGTACAAACACACATATACATTACCCAGCCACCAACCACAATCAAATGTGCACCAGCACCTGGAACCCACACTTAGGCAAATACCTTTGGCGATGTGCCTACTTTTATTGTGTGATGTGTGCATTTCTGCATGGTGATCAAGGCCAGGGAGGCACTCCTAATGCAGTAGCCCCAGCTCTGTCACCTCTGAGAAGCCTCCACCTGGAATCTCTTGCTTACCTTGACAGGTGAGCTGTCCAGGGAAACTGTCCAGCAGCAAATAATTCCTGAAGTCAAGCCTAAAACAGGCCTGTGAATTAAGTCCAAGGAGAGCAGGGCTCCCCGTGCTGCAGGTGTCTGGCAGCTTGGAAAAGGGACATAGACAAGATGCCGTGCATGTGACTCTTGCCGAGGACAGTATCTTTGGCATGGAGGGTACATTAAAGCTGGTGTTAAAGCAGTGTTTTCACCAAGTCAGGCTAAGTGCTACAAGCTGGTTAGCTTGCACAGGGCCTGGGTGCTCAGTAGGGCACAGCACTTGGGGTTTAGTGCTCTACAGTCACTATTAGTGTTATTTTTGAATTTGAGTTTTATAGTGAAGTCCAATGGGATAATAAAGCACGTGTTGGGGAGTCGGAACCTAGAGACTTGGTTCACTTGCCAGTCAACCTCCCTCCACTTCCCCAGGACTGGTTCTCATAGACCACTGTGTACCTCCCAGTTCCCTGGGGTTCCCCCACCCCACCTACCCTAGACTGGGAGGCTTAGGGTCAGTTATGCTCCCACAGTCTTGGGACAGGGAAGGCAGCGGCCATCCACCCCAAGCTGGCAGTGCCACGCTGCATTTATCTTTTGCCCACCTACATCGAGGCACCCAGCATGTCCCAGCAAAGAGGCTGCAACACTCTAGAGCAAGTCTGTCCAATCTGTGGCCTACAGGCTGCATGAGGCTCAGGACAGCTTTGAATGTGGCCCAACACAAATTTGCAAACTTTCTTAAAACATGAGATTTTGGTGTGATTTTTTGTTTCAAGCTCATCAGCTATCGTTAGCGTTGGTATATTTTATGTGTGGCCCAAGACAATTCTTCCAGTGTCGCCCAGGGAAGTCAAGAGACTGGACACCCCTCTGCTGTAGGTTGGGATGGCCAGCCAAGGGAAGAGGGGAGATGCCTGGCTTGACTTCTGGCTGTTGGGAAAAGGAACTCAACAGCTGGCCACACACCAAGTAAAGGGGATGGGGAAAGCTTATTGAATGACAAATAGAAACCTCCATGGCAGATGGAGAGATCGCAGAAGGAAGAAAGCTTTTTTCCCTGCTTTTAGACTTAAGGGCCTGAATTTGCATTTTGCCGTCGGCTCTCCACATATGTAGCCAGCCATGAATGCTGCAAGGACACATGTGGGAGCCAACCTATGCAATTAAAAGGCATTTTTGAAAACCACTCCTACCATGCTTTATGTTTGCAGAGAAATATGAGTGGGAAGAGGGGATCCACAGTGCTTTTGGACAGGAAGTTTCTTCCTCTTTCGTCACACTGCCCCAGATTCACTGGATGCTCAGCTTCTCCTATGTATTTGAAATGGTGAAATGTCAGCAAATGGCTGGGGCATCAAGGAATTGAGACATGAAATCCATACCACTGTCTGTGCATTCGCCAGCCATTCTATAAGTGATCAAAGACTCTAATCAAAAGTTATGAGCCACACAGCTGCTTCTGAAACTCCTTACCTGAGCCATTCAAGAGAGGTGAGGCACAATTGAACACACAGGATTGAGGGAGATGAGAATACCTGCTAGGAAAGAGGTCTGGATATAAAGATGACTCATCAGGTCTTTAGAATGACTTGCATAGGAATTAGGTCATTCTGTGAGATTATGAGAAATACATGTAGAAGCTGGTGCTTATCAGATAGAAAAGGAAGGAGCTGAATCAAACCACAAGCTACCAAGGAGACAGGTGGCCCATGAGGATGAGAGAGCAGGGCACCCTCTTTATATAAGCACTTAGATCTACTCAGAAACAATAAAGGCAGAAAGCCACCTGTTTATTGCTTCATCCAGCCAGGGAAGAACCTGTGCCAGACTTTAAAGCAGTGATAGGCCAGAGCCAGAACAATTGAATTGTAAAAATGGACATAATCACTAATGCCATATGAATAATGCATCTGTTATAATTCTGCTTTCCAAAGTACGTTTTCTGGGCACACCAAATGTAAAAGAATTCTGGAAATAGAAGCAATCTTGTCTGCATTTTCTATTTCAGTGCATCCAGTCAACTAATAGATGTAGCATGGCTGACTCTTGAATATCTGCATAGATGGAGGAATCTGATCACAGAGAACTACAATTAGTCCCACCTAACCTTATCTAGAATTTGTCACATCCATCTTTCCACAAACTTTACTGGAGCTGAGCACAAGTTGCAAAATAGACGATTTCATTCTTTGTCTTGACAAGCTATTGGAGTTACCAATCAGCAAAGAATTATTTGAACAATATATAGTAGGATAAAGAGAAACAAAGTCTTACAATTCTCAAATTGAGTAATCACATTTTTTTTTTTTTTGGAGATGGAGTCTCACTCTGTCACCCAGGCTGGAGTGCAGTGGTGTGATCTCAGCTCACTGCAACCTCTGCCTCCCGGGTTCAAGCGATTCTCCTGCCTCAACCTCCTGAGTAGCTGGGATTACAGATGTGTACCACCACACCCGGCTAATTTTTGTATTTTTAGCAGAGACAGGGGTTTTACCATGTTGGCCAGGCTGGTCTCGAACTCCTGACCTCAAGTGATCCAACTGCCTCAGCCTCCCAAAGTGCTAGGATTACAGGCGTGAGCCACCGCGCCCGGCCCAAATGATTTTTATTAAGTGATTATTGCCGGGTGTGGCGGCTCACACCTGTAATCCCAGCACTTTGGGAGGCTGAGTCGGGTGGATCAGGAGGTCAAGAAATCAAAACCATCCTGGCCAACATGGTGAAACCCCATCCCTACTAAAAATACAAAAATTAGCTGGGCGTGGTGGCACACACCTGTAGTCCCAGCTACTTGGGAGGCTGAGGCAGGAGAATCACTCGAAACCCGGGGGGGCAAAGGTTGCAGTAAGCCGGGATCATGCCACTGCACCTCCAGCCTGGCAACAGAGCAAGACACCATCTCAAAAAAAAAAAAAAAAAAATTAGTTGGGTGTGGTGGTGGGTGCCTGTAATCCCAGCTACTCACGAGGCTGAGGTAGAAGAATTGCTTGAACCCGGGAGGCAGAGGTTGCAGTGAGCCGAGATCGTGCCACTGCACTCCAGCCTGGGCGACAGAGCAAGACTCTATCTCAAAAAAAAAAAACAAAAAAACAAAAAAAACAAAAAAAACAAAAAAAAAAAACAAAACCCAAGTGCAAACTCCTACATATAACATAGTGAAAAACGGAAATTCAAAGATATGGTATTAATGTTCAACCTTTTGAGAATAAAAATATTTGAGAGGGGAAAAAATATAGCAATATCATGCTATATAAGCACTTACTAATTTAACAATTTTTTCGTAACAAAGATGGGAAGAAAGGTAACAGTAACTAAACCTGCCATAAAAGAAAACAAAGGACCTAACGGAAAAGGCGGGGAGGTGGGGAGAGGTGCGGGGTAGGGGGACGCAGCGTGAAGGGGCTAGGGAAGAGTCCAGTAAAGGTAAGACCATGAAAACAGCGTGCTTCAGACTCAAAAGAATGCCCTTCCCATATCAGTGGAGCCAATGTTCTATGCATACAATCGTCACTTTGGGGAATTTGAGTTTATAATGTTCACTCTGCAAGATAATAAGGAAATGCTGGGATGGTACATGGGTGGCTAACTCCTGTAATCCAAGCACTTTGGGAGGCCAAGGCAAGAAGACTGTTTGACCCCAGGAGTTCAAGACCAGCTTGGGCAACATAGTGAGACCTCAGCTCTCCAAAAATAAAACAATTAGCCAGGTGTGGAGGCACATACCTGTAGTCCCAGCCATTCGGGAGGCTGAGGCAGGAAGATCACTTGAGCCCAGGAGATCTGGGCTGCAGTAAGCTATGATGGCAACACTGCACTCCAGCCTGGGAGACAGAGTGAGACCCTGTCTCAAATAAATATATATACAACTAGTCTAGGGGACTTCAGTTGTTGCTCACAACAACAGAAGTTATTTTTCATTCCCATTTTACACCTGAAGAAACAAGGGTCACTCTAGTTAAATGATTTGCCCAAAGCTGCTCGGCTAGGGGCTAGAATATTAAAATGTGAAGAATGTGTTTGAACCCAAAACTCTTTCCACAACATCCCTGTAAAATACGATTGTCTGAAATGGCTCCTTTTTTGTACTGGCCAATACAGTAGCCACCAGCTATATGTGGTTAATTAAAATTAAATTTCAGTTCCTCAGTCACACTACATTTCAAGTGCTCAAAAGCCTCATGTGGCTCATGGCTGCCATATAGGTAGTACAGATTCTAGGACACTTCTGTCAGCAGAGGTTTTTTCAGACAGGCTCTAAGTTCTACTTAGCACTTGGCTTCTATGATTCCCTGATTTCTCAACCTGTCCTGCAAGCCCTTCCAGAGTCTGACTCCAGCTCCTCTTTACTGTTGGGTTACTCATGATTCCCAGCCAGGCTCTTTCTGTGCCTGCCAGACTGGGCTCTATTTCTATGTCCCCCATTGTACCTAACACCGTGCCTTCTATTAAGCAGATAGTAAACATATGGATGGATGGACCTATGGAAGAAAGGAAGAGATGAAATAAGGGAATGGCATACATTCATGCTTTCATTAGACAAATACTTATTGAGTGACTGCTATGTGTTAAGCACTTTTAGGTTCCTGGGATTACTATAGTGAACAGACAAGATCTCATGAACCTTCTGTCTGGTTGGGTGGAAAAGTGAGGAACAGATCATAAGGAAGTTTACAGGTAAATAAAAGTTCAGATAGTGCCAAGTGTTATAAAGAAAATAGCATGATGTGCTGAGGGACTGTAAGTAGGAGTGGATCTGGGAAAACTATAGATATGGTGGTCTGTGATGAGGTACCATTTGAACCCAAATCTAAACAATCAGAAGAACCAACCATAGGTAGAAATGAGTGGTACATATTCCATGAAGAAACTTTGCTGCTGAAGTAATACTTTTGCATACTTTGATGAGATGTATCATTTGTCAGCTTCTGATATATGAGCCAGTTTAAGTACCCAGTTTAATTTTAAAATTACCCTGGAGGAAGGCTGCAACAAGGAAATGGGTGAAACAATTAATTTACTATGACAGATTAATATGTAGTCTATTAAAGTTGAAATGGCATTTATCTTCTATGATGTTCTCTTTTGTTGTATAGCTTTGTTCCTGGACCACTTAAAGCTACCCTCAAAGAAGATGTATTACAGAAGGCAAAATTCTTTCAAGA